>NC_000013.11:113880847-114038674 GCF_000001405.40 Homo sapiens | reverse complement strand
TCACTGGGTCAAGGTTGCCATTTGCCAAGGTCATGAGCTGTGCACACGCCCATGGCCAGCAAAGGGTTCATTCATGAAGTTGACCATGAGCCCAGCTGTGGGGGTGGGGTGAGGCCCTTGACGGAAATTAAGGAGTGGAGCCAAGAAGCCCTGGGGATGGCCCTGCCCCAAGGGACCTGTGCTAATTGTGCGTCACACTTAATTAACTCTGCTTCCTGGGAAAGCACTGGCTGGGGAACCCACACGTGCTGTGGAAAGTGAAGGACGCTGTGATTACTGCAGAACTAATGACTGTCCTCGCATCCCCGGAGCACAAGGGCCCCAGCGTGCTGCTCCCACGGACCTTGGCGTCCCGGCAGAAAGGCGGGGTTTCCCACGTGCTGCCCGGGAGACGGGGCTTGGTGACTGGGCCGCTCCCGCCTGCGTGTCGGCGAGTTCCCCAGCTCTTCTATTCTGGGATACCCGCCGTCGCTGGGGTCTCCGTCACAACGGCCTCTGAGCAGCTGGCAGAGTGCGGCCTCGTCGTTTGCCTCGGATTCAAGTTTGGTTTTATTGGCAGGTGTAGCTTTTCCTCTTTCTTGCCTTTTTTTTTTTTTTACTGATTTAATTTTGAAATGGTTATAGATCTATAGGAAGGCATCAAAACAGTACACAGGAGTGGCGAGGGGCGAATTCCCACCTTTCCCTGAAAACGGAAGGCCGTGCTCCCTTCTCCCGGCTCCCCCGAACGGAAGGCCGTGCTCCCTTCTCCCGGCTCCCCCGAACGGACGGCCGTGCTCCCTTCTCCTGGCTTCCCCAAACAGAAGGCTGTGCTCCCTTCTCCCGGCTTCCCCAGGCACTGCCATGCGCAGCTGGTGCAACGTCAACCAGGACGCCGACGTTTGTGCAGTCCACGGATGTTATCCAGATTTCACCAGTTCACAGGCACGTGTTTCTGTGTGTGTCTCTCTGTGTATTCTATGCTATTTTTTCCAGTTTTTTATGTGGTAAAACAGAGACATGAAATTTACCATTTTAACCATTTAAAATGTCCAATTCAGTGGTATAGCATTGAATATATTCATAATATTGTATAACCGTCACCACCACCCATCTCTAGAGCTCCTTTCATCTTGCAAAACGGAACCTCCGTCCCCTCTGTCCCCTGGCTAGAGTTTTATTCACACGCTCCCGTCCGCCCCTTCCCCACCGGCAGCCCCATGGCACTCTGTCTCTGACGCAGGCCACTCCCCGTGGCTCATGGGAGTGAGCTCTACCCTGCTGGTCTTTCTGAGGCTAATGTCGCTCTGCGTGACATCCTCCGGGTCGCTTGTGGTATCAGAACCTCCTTCCTTCCAAGGCTGAGGAATGGTCCGAGGTGCGAAGCGTGTGCTGTTGCTCCAGTCACCTGCCGATGGGCTGTTGTGACAGTCGGTGCAACTTCATCACAGGGTAGATAGTGTAACCACCATGACGATCAGGACTCAGACGTTGCATCTCCACAAAGCTGTAAATAAGAATGCCGCAGGTTGATCTCACAGCTGGTGGAATCTCATAATTAACGCCCGAGGCTGCGTACCCGTGGCCAAGCCCAGCGTCCTCCAAGCCTGACTCTCACTGTCCGGAACATGAGGATCCTGAACCGAGTGGTGTCAGTCTCCCGGGAATTTGCACTTTATGGAAGGCAAATGCGAGCTGTTGTCTAAAAGGGAGGAGGCAAGGTCATTGCTCTCCAATGCCCGCTGCTCTCCAATGCGTTGCTTCACTGATGCAGTCAGCCCCAACGCCGCCCAAAACGTAGCGTGACAGGGAGCAGTGGCCCTGCTGGACTCCAGCCAACCTTTAAAACCTCAACTCCAGGCTGGGCGCGGTGGCTCATGCTTGTAATTCCAGCACTTTGGGAGGCCGAGGCGGGTGGATCACCTGAGGTCAGGTGTTTGAGACCAGCCTGACCAACATGGTGAAACCCCGTCTCTACTGAAAATACAAAATTAGCCGGGCGTGGTGGCGCATGCCTGTAATCCCAGCTACTCCGGAGGTTGAGGCAGGAGAATCGCTTGAACCCGGGAGGCGGAGGTTGCTGTGAGCTGAGATCGCGCCATTGCACTCCAGCCTGGGCAACAAGAGTGAAACTCCATCTCAAAAAAAGAAGAAGAAGAAGAAAAAAAACCCCACAACTCCAGTCTCAGGAGCCGCCGTTTCATCATAAGATGTCACAGTGACCATTTTCAGGAAGGCAGGGGGTAGCCATGTGGCTCCATGAGTCCCTCCGCTCTGTGATTCCCAGGAACAGTCCTGTGTCCGGACAGCGAGTGTCACAGAAGCAGCCCATGGGGGAGGCCAGCAAGTGAGTCACAGAAATGGGGGAAACACAATTAAACCTTTCTTGCTTCCTTCTGGAACGGCCACTGTTGGAAAGTCTTTGTTAAATCACTTTATTATGCAGAGTTGTGCTCTCTGACCCTCCCCTGATGCAGGGCCAGCGGGGGAGACGCCAGCGTCAGATGCCAGTGGGGGAGATGCCAGCGTCAGATGCCAGCGAGGGCACCGCCTGTGACAGCGAGGCATCCGCGGTGATCTGGGCGCCTGGGGGTCACTGAGCTCCGTTTATAAACCAGGCTTTCAAGTGCATCTGTGACGTATTCAGAAAATAGCACAGCCCTGCAGGGGATCACAGCAAACCCCTGGGTCTGCCATCCGCCCAAGAGACACCTACGTGTTTCCCCCTTGGAGCCTTCCAGTTGCACCGTGAAATCTCACTGGGCTGGAAATTCCAGCCTCCTGCTACAGCCTCTGGGAATTTTGTGTTTGTGCAGCAGACAGTCCTCTTGGAAGGATTTTCGGAGCAAACAAAGTCACCGTCCGTCGTCAAGCTTTCACATCTCTCCAGGGTTGTAAGAGGAGACGGCCGAGGCTGGGCTTCCTTCCTCATGGCCTCTGCATCCTGTCTCATCTGCCCGCGGACTTCGTCTCCTCTCTGCGGCCGGCGTGGAACAGTCCTGCATCCAAGGCACCTCTGTCCTGGCTGCTCTCTGGGCCGCTGCCCGCTCAGTGGGGGACACGGCAACCGGTGGGTGGGGCCAGGACCCTGACCCGGCTCTGCGCGCTGCTCTCTCCCTGGGGAAGGCCTTCCTGAGAAAGATGGATAGGGACCATTGGCTGCTTTTTAAAAATTAATTAACTCTGTTTTGGGGGCAGTTCTGTGTTCACAGGGAAATTGAGCAGAGTACAGAGTTTCCATACACCCCTCAGCAGCCCCCGCCCAGGGCCCCATGGGTGACACTGCAGCCACACGTTGTCAGGAGCTGGACGCTGGGGCCCCTTTGCTGCGTCTGTGAGTTCGCAGGAGTGCAGCGCCAGGGACCTCAGTGCAGCGTCCAGGCAGGTGCCAGGGTCGGCAGCCAGGTCCTCTCGTTCCTTTCCTGTGGGAATTTGTGCCTTTTCCCTTTTGCTCTTAGTAGCCTGGTTTGAGGTTTATTAATTTTATTGATCTCTCAAGGAATTTGCCGTTGGCTTTGATTTTTACCTATTGGTTTCCGATCTGACTTCTGTTTTCTGTTCTTGGGCTCTGGGTTTAGTTTACTCATTTTTCTCAGTCTCCCAGCTCTAAGCTCAGGTCAGCGTTCAGATCTCCCTTCTGCTCTAAGCTCAGGTCAGCGTTCAGATCTCCCTTCTGCTCTAAGCTCAGGTCAGCGTTCAGCTCTCCCTTCTGCTCTAAGCTCAGGTCAGCGTTCAGATCTCCCTTCTGCTCTAAGCTCAGGTCAGCGTTCAGATCTCCCTTCTGCTCTAAGCTCAGGTCAGCGTTCAGATCTCCCTTCTGCTCTAGTCTGTGTGGCCGGCACTCCAGATTCCCCTCCACCCCGAGCACGGCTCCCGCTTCATCCCACTGATTTTGATGAGTAACACTTTCATTTCTGTTTATTCCGGAACATTTTAAAATTTGTCTTGCGTTCTCTGATCTGTGTGTTATTTAGAACTGTGTTGTTTAACCTCTAAATGTCTGGGATTCTCCAGCCTGCGCCAGCACCTGCAGATTTACTCATTGGCTTTTCTGGCAGGAGAAAGGGCCTTCCAGGGGTGGGTTTTGTTTGTTCCCACTCCTGAATCAGCAGAAGACGAAAGCACACAAGTCAGCTGGTCAGGAGGGATTCATGCTGCAGGAACAGGAGCAGCCTCAGGACCTGATGGTGACCAGCCAGGTGCCCCTGGACCCGGCCAGGAGCCGGGAGAGCACACGGGGGCCGCACAGCCTGCTGCCAGGGGCCGGGAGAGCACACGGGGGCCACACAGCCTGCTGCTGGGGACCAGGACCCCCCACATGCAGTCGTGACTCTTCCTGAAGCTCCCGAATGTGAATAGAGCTACCTCCGTCTGCACAGCCTTGCAAATCTGAACGCTTCTGTCCTGAGAGAGTTTGCGCCCGGCATTTGAGAACGGGGATGAAGCAGTGGGGATTCTTGGTTATTCTTGGGTCAGGCACTTTCTCCTGTCTTTGGTGGTCAGGCCACTCCTTTAGCCCGTGGATAGCCACGGATAGCAGGCCCAGTGCCCGGCTGGTGTTCAGGGCACTCCTTTAGCCCGTGGATAGCCACGGATAGCAGGCCCACTGCCCGGCTGGTGTTCAGGGCACTCCTTTAGCCCATGGATAGCCACGGATAGCAGGCCCGCTGCCAGGCGGTGAGGACCACAGGCGATACTCCGCTCAGCCCTGAGCTCTGATGGGTGTGGGAAGAGGAGCTGTGGTCTTGGTGGGGTCTTTGTTGTCATTTTAGGCACCTGTTTTCCCCGCCCACAGTGCTGGCGTGGGGTTCATGCCCACCTTCCCGGCCCAACATCCTTGTGGCCCCTCAGGACCTGCTCTGGGGCTGCAGCCACAGGGCGGGAAGGCCACACCCAACCTCCAGACCCCAGAGTCTCAGGACAGCAGCGGAGGCCCCACCTCCCACACCTGCCTGGGCAGCACAGACCCAGTTCCATTCCCCCTGTGAGCGCTGGGTCAAGTGTGGGGGTGCCGTGGGGCGTGGTGTCAGTGTGGGGGTGCCGTGGAACGTGGTGTCAAGTGTGGGGGTTCCGTGGGGCGTGGTGTCAAGTGTGGGGGTGCCGTGGAACGTGGTATGAAGTGTGGGGTGCCGTGGAACGTGGTGTCAGTGCGGGGGTGCCGTGGGGCGTGGTGTCAGTGTGGGGGTGCCGTGGGGCGTGGTGTCAGTGTGGGGGTGCCGTGGGGCGTGGTGTCAGTGTGGGGGTGCCGTGGGGCGTGGTGTCAGTGTGGGGGTGCCGTGGAACATGGTATGAAGTGTGGGGGTGCCATGGAACGTGGTGTCAAGTGTAGGGGTGCTGTGGGGTGTGGTGTCAGTGTGGGGGTGCCGTGGAACGTGGTATCAAGTGTGGGGGTGCCGTGGGGCGTGTTGTCAGTGTGGGGGTGCCATGGAACGTGGTGTCAAGTGTGGGGGTGCCGTGGAACGTGGTGTCAAGTGTGGGGGTGCTGTGGGGCGTGGTGTCAGTGTGGGGGTGCCGTGGGGCGTGGTGTCAGTGTGGGGGTGCCGTGGGGTGTGGTGTCAGTGCGGGGGTTCCGTGGAACGTGGTGTCAAGTGTGGGGGTGCTGTGGGGCATGGTATCAAGTGTGGGGGTGCTGTGGGGTGTGGTGTCAGTGTGGGGGTGCCGTGGAACGTGGTATCAAGTGTGGGGGTGCCGTGGAACATGGTATCAAGTGTGGGGGTGCTTTGGGGTGTGGTGTCAGTGTGGGGGTGCCGTGGAACGTGGTGTCAAGTGTGGGGGTGCTGTGGGGCATGGTATCAAGTGTGGGGGTGCTGTGGGGTGTGGTGTCAGTGTGGGGGTGCCGTGGAACGTGGTATCAAGTGTGGGGGTGCCGTGGGGCGTGGTGTCAGTGTGGGGGTGCCGTGGGGCGTGGTGTCAGTGTGGGGGTGCCGTGGGGCGTGGTGTCAGTGTGGGGGTGCCATGGAACGTGGTGTCAAGTGTAGGGGTGCCGTGGGACGTGTTGTCAGTGTGGGGGTGCCGTGGAACGTGGTGCCAAGTGTGGGGGTGCCGTGGGGCATAGTATCAAGTGTGGGGGTGCCGTGGGGCTGCACCGACGCGGTGTCAAGTGAGGGCTGAAGGGCTTTATGTTCCACTCCCTGACCAGGGGCTTCGGGGTGTGCACCCTGGCAGGGCAGGCTGCGCCCACGACCCAGGCACCCCGAGGGTTCACAGGCAAGGGTTTCAGAAGGTGGGGAGGCTGAGGTTGTGGCAAAGTCATAAATCAGTACATGGAGGCCGTATGTCAGTTTGACCTGAGAAGGCAGACATCACGACGTGTGGCCCATGGGTCGGATATAGAGCGTTTTTGATTTGTGATTGGTTAAGGAGGAGAAGCTTTGTCCAAACAATTGAGATCAGCAGAAAAGAATGTTGGCTCTGGCCCACAGGCATGACCCCTCCTGGCCCCTGAGGAAGAAATTCAGAATAGAGCCGGGTTCAGGGTTCGGGCCTGTGATCCCCCCTGCATTTGTGGTCTGTGTTGGTAGATCTGTTTGGTGAGGGTCTCGGTTTTTGAAAAACAATTTAGGGACATATGTTAAGATGCTATTTTTAACTTGTATAGGGAATAAATATCTCCTGACTAATTTTTTGGCTATTATTTTATTATTTATTTTGCTTGTTAGGTGATTTACCACTCAAGGCTGGCTAGGTGTCTGATATATTTTTGAAGGAACTCGAAGGTTTTTTAATCATTTAGGTGGGTGGGGCCTAAGCGAGGTCCCTGCTCCATCCGAGGTTCTGCACCAGGCCACGTGCTGCAGGGCTGCTGTCGGTTCTGCCGTCCACGTCTTAGCGCCAGGCATTCTGCCCGTCTGTCCCACCCTCCCACAGGCAGGGACAAGCCCTGGGGAACACGCCTTGGCCTTCCCGGAGCCTCAGGAGCTAGAGCTAAGGGCCGGGCCAGGCAGAGCCCCTGAAGCATGGATGAGTCTGTGTTTATCCCATCCATTCATTGCCATTCAGGCTGGAGCAAATACAGGGACAGCGGCACACACAGGTAGGCACACATAGCCGCACACACACACAGGTGGACACAGTCACACATACACACAGGCGGTGCACACACAGGCAGACATGCACACACAGTCGCATGTACAGACAGGCGGACAAACACACATACACAGGTGGACACACAGCCACGCGCACAGACAGGCAGACACAGTCGCGCACACACACAGAAGGACATGCACACAGCCACACACTACAGACAGGTAGACACACACAGAGTTGCATGCACATACAGGCAGATGCACACACAGCTGCTTGCACACAGACAGACATGCACACATAGTCGCACACACACACAGAAGGACACACACAGCCAAACACACAGACAGGCAGATGCACATACAGACAGGCAGACACCGACAGGCAGACACACACAGTTTCATGCAAACACAGGCAGACACACAGCCGTGTGCACACAGACGGACACGCACACACAATCGCACGCCCACACAGACACATAGCCACATGCACAGACAGGCAGACACACACAGCTGCATGCACACACAGGCGAACATGCACACAGGTGGACACATACAAGCAGATACACACAATCACATGCACACACAGGTAGACACACAGTCGCATGCACACAGGTGGACACAGCCACACACAGATGGACACACAGTTGCACGCACACAGGCAGACACACAGCCGCACACACAGGCGGACACACAGCTACACAGGCAGACACGCACACAGCAGCACAGATGGACACACATAGTCGCATGCATGCATAGGCAGACACACATAGACACACACAGTTGCACGCACACAGGTAGACACACAGCCGCACACACAGGAGGACACACAGCTGCACACACACAGCCAGATGCACAGACACAGGCGGACACACATACAGGTGGACATGCACACACAGCAGCATGCTCACATACACAGCTGCACACACAAACCGCACGCACACAGGCAGACACACAGTTGTACGCACAGACAGGTGGACACACACCCACAGCCGTGCACACAGACAGACAGGTGGATGGACACAGCAGCACACACAGACAGACTGATCTAGAGAGACAGGTGGACCCGCAGGGCAGCCTTGCTGTCTGCTCTGCTAGAAGCCCCCGTGAGCCTTGCTGTCTGTGTGAGTCTTGCCCTCTGTGTGAGTCTTGCTCTCTGTGTGAGTCTTGCCCTCTGTGTGAGTCTTGCCCTCTGTGTGAGCCTTGCCCTCTGTGTGAGCCTTGCCCTCTGTGTGAGCCTTGCCCTCTGTGTGAGTCTTGCTCTCTGCGTGAGTCTTGCCTCCTGTGTGAGTCTTGCCCTCTGTGTGAGCCTTGCCCTCTGTGTGAGCTCTCCGAGGTTCCTGCGGGCCTCCATCCGGCCTCGCCCGAGGGGAGGTAAAGGCAGTGGCCCCTGCTTGGGAGACAGCTGTGCTTCCCCTCTGGTTTGTCCCGACGGACACACGAGCAGCCTGCAGCATCAGAGCCTTTGGGGGTCTGCTTCACTGAATGACCGTCTCCTACACGGTTGGACCCCTCACTTCTGAGGCAGCGACCTGCTCTCAGCAGAGCCAGGAGCCTGGGCAGCCACATGGGGCTGAGCAGTCAGGCAAGCAGCTCTCCTGGAGAAAGGCCACAGCTGGGACCCTGCGTCCCGGGGGTGGAGTGGAGGGGCTGGACGTGCCCATTGGCCAGGGCAGGGCGGGGCCGCCTGCTCCCTTTGCCCTCTAGGCTTTCCCTGGGCGCGCGGCCCTAGTGGCCTGTGGGAGCAGCGCCACAGCCTCTGACACCCCATCCTTGTGCCTTGCAGGGCAAAGTGCACCTGGAGCTGCGGCTGAGCGAGGTCATCACAGACACTGGGGTCGTCTGCCACAAGCTCGCCACACGGTAAGACACGTCCTCACTAGAGACCGAGCGCACAGCGAGTGGCATGTCTGGCTCCCGAGGAGCACACAGGGGTTTTCACACCAACGCACAAGAATTTCCAGAGCCGGTGGCTGCCCAGGATGACACTGTTTAGAGGTCCTGGCCCACCAGGATGATGCTGTTTTAGGGGTCCTGGCCCACCAGGATGACGCCATTTTAGAGGTCCTGGCCCCCAGGATGACGCCGTTTTAGAGGTCCTGGCCCACCAGGATGATGCTGTTTTAGAGGTCCTGGCCCCCAGGATGACGCCGTTTTAGAGGTCCTGGCCCCCAGGATGACGCCGTTTTAGAGGTCCTGGCCCCCAGGATGACGCCGTTTTAGAGGTCCTGGCCCCCAGGATGATGCCGTTTTAGAGGTCCTGGCCCCCAGGATGACGTCGTTTTAGAGGTCCTGGCCCCAGGATGATGCCGTTTTAGAGGTCCTGGCCCCAGGATGATGCCGTTTTAGAGGTCCTGGCCCCCAGGATGATGCCGTTTTAGAGGTCCTGGCCCCAGGATGATGCCGTTTTAGAGGTCCTGGCCCCAGGATGATGCCGTTTTAGAGGTCCTGGCCCCCAGGATGACGCCGTTTTAGAGGTCCTGGCCCACCAGGATGAAGCTGTTTTAGAGGTCCTGGCCCCCAGGATGACGTCGTTTTAGAGGTCCTGGCCCCAGGATGATGCCGTTTTAGAGGTCCTGGCCCCCAGGATGATGCCGTTTTAGAGGTCCTGGCCCCAGGATGATGCCGTTTTAGAGGTCCTGGCCTCCAGGATGATGCCGTTTTAGAGGTCCTGGCCCCAGGATGATGCCGTTTTAGAGGTCCTGGCCCCAGGATGATGCCGTTTTAGAGGTCCTGGCCCCAGGATGATGCCGTTTTAGAGGTCCTGGCCCCAGGATGACACTGTTTTAGAGGTCCTGGCCCCAGGATGATGCCGTTTTAGAGGTCCTGGCCCCCAGGATGATGCCGTTTTAGAGGTCCTGGCCCCAGGATGACGCCGTTTTAGAGGTCCTGGCCCCAGGATGACACTGTTTTAGAGGTCCTGGCCCCAGGATGATGCCGTTTTAGAGGTCCTGGCCCCAGGATGATGCCGTTTTAGAGGTCCTGGCCCCAGGATGACACTGTTTTAGAGGTCCTGGCCCCAGGATGATGCTGTTTTAGAGGTCCTGGCCCCCAGGATGATGCCGTTTTAGAGGTTGCCCCAGGATGATGCTGTTTTAGAAGTTCTGGCCCCCTTCCAGGATGACGCTGTTTTAGAGGTTCTGGGCCCCCAGGATGACGCTGTTTTAGAGGTCCTGGCTCCCAGATGACACTGTTTTAGGGGTCCTGGCTCCCAGATGACGCTGTTTTAGGGGTCCTGGCCCCCAGGATGATGCTGTTTTAGAGGTCTTAGCTCCCAGATGATGCTGTTTTAGGGGCCCTGGCCCCCAGGATGACACTGTTTTAGGGGTCCTGGCCCCCAGGATGACGCTGTTTTAGAGATCCTGGCTCCCAGATGACACTGTTTTAGGGGTCCTGGCTCCCAGATGATGCTGTTTTAGGGGTCCTGGCCCCCAGGATGACACTGTTTTAGGGGTCCTGCCCCCCGCCCCCCCGATGACGCTGCTTTAGATGTGCTGTCACACACTGCTGGCGTCCACGCTAAAGCACATGCTCACCTTAGAGGTGTTGTTTTGGGCTTTTGTGAATGGCCAGCGTGATTCAGCGTCACACCGAGGCAGAATGGCTGGTGTGGCCCTCCCTGCCTTCCGGTGAGGAAACCTCATCTCACAGCTTGAACTCAGGCCTCCTGCCTGACCCAGAGCTGTCTCGCCATTCGCCCAGGTGTCTGCGCTCCCTCCTGACGCCGCCTCTGCTTCTCTCCTCAGCATCGTCGAGTGCCAGGGCCTCCCCATCGTGAATGGGCAATGTGACCCCTACGCCACCGTGACGCTGGCAGGACCCTTCAGGCAAGTTGCCTCACGCTTCAGGTTTCTGTTCTGGTCCTGGGGGGCTAGGGTCCAGCTCTGAAATCACGAGACCACTGCCTCATTTGGGAGGAGTCAGGAGGTTGCGCTTTGAGGTAGAATGTGAATTTTTACTTCCTTTTGTTTTCTTTATTGCTCCAAAATTGCTTTGTAGAAAATGAAGCCTTCATGCTCTTCACGCTGGGTATTTTTGGCTGAGTAAAGGTTCCTGATTTGCATACCATCTGGAGTTGGAGACCAGCAGAAATATTTATAAAATAAATAAAGCCAATAAGTGACTTGTGCATTTGAGAGCTCGGTTTTACCACTGAGAGACTTGGAATCAGCAGTGTTGTTTTAATCCCAATCCTTTCTCACTTGATAACAGATCAGAAGCAAAGAAGACGAAAGTGAAGAGGAAGACCAACAATCCCCAGTTCGATGAAGTGTTTTATTTTGAGGTTGGTATCTTCATGGGTCAACGTTAAGTGGAAACTCTGCACCCGAGACACGTTGGCAGAAAGTCTGGATCCAGAATGATCTCAGTCTCTTCCCTCTGGAAGTTCCTTCCGGAGAGGAGCGAGCCCCGCCAGCCGGCCCTGGGTTCCTTCCGGAGAGGAGCGAGCCCCGCCGGCCGGCCCTGGGTTCCTTCCGGAGAGGAGCGAGCCCAGCCAGCCAGCCCTGGGGATTGGACCCGTGGCCACAGGACCTTCCCTCCTCTCCCAAGAGAGAAAGGTCATTCGTTGTCTCCCGAACTGGCCCAGATTTGAGTTAAAAGATGACAGATTAATGCTTTCCAAATTACCAGGACCTTGGGGGTTTTTGTTTTTTTGGCTGCTCTGCCCAAGCATCCCTGAGAGGCGGAAGGCTTGTTCCAGTGGAAATAGGCAGGGTTTTGAAACAAAGGGGAAAGGATTCAGACACAGAGATCCTCTCAGAACATGAAGCACCAAAATCCATGAAAAGGAGGGTGCAAGGGTGCACCTGGTGGAATGTGACCCCGTTTGGGATGGCTGCATCTCGTGGAGTGAGGACCTGCCATGTGGCCGGTGCGGTTTGGGGACAGCTGTGTGCAGGGCCTTTAGGCAGATGTTCTTCCCATCCACAAACATTCCGGTGCACAGGCCCTGGAGATGTGAGGATGGATGAGGCCTCTGTGGCAAGAGCATGGCCAGTCACATCTGAGGGGTCGGGCGGGCTCCCCTGAGCCATGATGGCTGAGTGGGGCTCGATGCATGCAGCTCTCAGGGGACCGTAGGAGAGTGGACCTACCGGTCAGTGGGTCCTGACTGAGTAGGACCCACTGGCACTGCTGAGGCTCGAAAGGGCCCCACAGGCAGAGGTGGGAACTTGGTGTCCAAAGCCAGGGCCAGGCTTTCAGGGCCACTGTGAGGAGGGCTTTAGAGGTGGAATCTGTTCTCTGTCTCAAACGGAAGCCTCACTTATAGACAGGCGGAGAAGATGGTTTTGCCAGAGCGAGGGAAGGCAGGGAGCTGCCAGGCTCCCAGGGGGAGGGTGGGCCCTGTTGGAGGTGCAGGAGGCATGCAGCATGGACCGAGTTCCAGGTGGCAGCTCCCCCCGCCTCGGCTGCTGGCTTGGCTGCCACACACAGAGCTGTCATACACACAGTGGGGTAGAGCTCGCCCACTGCCCGGCCACACACGGGTGCTCATCACGCTTGCAGTGTTCTCATGCTGTTTCTACTGTGTGCACTCCTGTTTCACTCTGTAAAGACGTGGGTCTCAGCCTACAGGAGCAATTTAGTGACCACAGACAGTCTGAAAACCATGGTCTGCGTCACCACCTGTGGGGCTCCAGGGAAGGCCCGGACCTCGCTGACCGCTGCTGTGTGGGACGCGCGGGGCCCTGCTCTTTGGGCTCTGTGACCTTTCACTCCGTCTCCTCCCCTTCCTTAGCAGACCTCTTTCACCAGGACTCTGTCTCTTTCGGCTTCAGCTGCTTCTGACCCAGCTGGAGGCTGAGCCCCGGGGAGGGAGCACATCCCCCGCGGGCTGTGGTCAGACAGCCACCTACTGGGAGCAGACCCAGGAAAACAGATGTTCCGTTTCTATGGGAAGCAGCGTCTGTACCATTTTCTTCCAGGATAACAACTAGACACATTAAGACCCTTTAACTCTCTAAATGAGATTAAATAATCTCATAAATTTGGTAGGAGCTGCCTTCATTCACTCAACACGTGTCAGGTGCCAGCACCGTGCTGGTGATCAGCTGGTGATAAGATGTGGCAGAAAACAGAGGAGTCCAAGGCCACCACACCAGGCCAGCATGGGAGGGATGCAAACAGACAAGCCCCTACAATAGCTCCCGACCTGCCCTGCAGAGAGGGCGTGAGGCAGGGGCACTGGGGGCTTCCTGGAGGAGGCATTGCCTGACCTGCCCTGCAGAGAGGGCATGAGGCAGGGGCACTGGGGGCTTCCTGGAGGAGGCATTGCCTGACCTGAGTTTTGTGAGATGGGGAAGTTGGGGGGAAGCAAATTTTTGGACAGTGGTGTGTAGGTCAGGAAGGAGGAGGCGTCAGCAGCCCTCAACCCGAAGCAGAGAACTGCCCCTGCGTGATCTTCACCTCAGTTTACCAATCAGGAAGTGCAAGCTCAGAGGTTAGGCAGTTTTAGCAACATGATTTTGGTGTCAAGCCTTACATCAGAACTTCGAGCTGAGAGCTCCTGAGCCAGCATCACTGCTGAGGCCCGGAGAAGGGGGGGCAGGGAGGGAGGCCGGGCAGGACGGAGCCCTTCTTGTAAACGCAGGTGACCTGGTGCACGGCTGATGGTGGTTAAATCGGAACTCCAGGTGATAACCACTGTCTCCTGGAGCCTGTGGGTCGGCCTCCTGCTCTGCTGCAAGGGCCCTGCTGGCTGGCGGGGGGCGGTCCCGGAGCCTCGACCCTTCACGCCTTCACTCCGTTTCTGTTCTAAGGAACCCACGGTGCGGAGGTGTCAGGAGGAAGGTAGCAGCGTCTTGACTTTCCACCGTCTGACCCTCCCTGGAGTGCTGGGGCCTGTTCGGGGCCGGCCAGGTTCAGGCTCCACAGACCTCACGCGTTTCACTTCCTGTTGGCAAATAGAGCCTTGAGGTGGGGCCACGGGAGGGCGGCGCTGGCTTCGTCTCCACGGCAGAGGGGACCCTCCCTCCCTCACGGGGTGGCAGGCCCAGAGCAGGCGCAGGTGACGGACATTTAGGTACCCAGAGCCCGGCACCCATCAGGAGCCACTGGGAGAGTCCGGCCGTGGCCGTGAACAGCCTTGGGGCAGGTCTCACCTGGGTCTGCCCCTCCAGGGGCGCCGTGAGTAGGAAATGCTGGCACTCAGGAAGCCAGGCCTGAATCCCGAATCCCGCCTGGCGCCTTCCTGGTTGTGGCCCTTGAGTGGTGTGTGGGTAAGCGCAGAGGGTAGGGCAGCCCGGGGCCTAGGTCCGCATATACCCCCGCCTGGTGGCACCGCGGTCTCAGCGCTTTCTCTCTCGTCTGACTCCAGGTGACCCGGCCCTGTAGCTACAGCAAGAAGTCCCACTTTGACTTTGAGGAGGAAGACGTGGACAAGCTCGAAATCAGGTGAGAAAACCAGGCTCCGCGTCCCCAACTTGGCAGTTTTCACCCAAACTCCTCAGCTCTTTTGTTCTTTGTTACTAAATATAGGGTCATAGATAGAAATGAATTTCCATTTTCTTGGTAATTTTCACAACAGGATGTTAGAAGTTGTAGTTGAAGTGACAGCCTGTGGGTGGTGTTAGGGCTCACCTTGCAATACCTGCGAAGAGGCGAAAGCCAGAGGTCCGCATCCCTCTGGCCGTAAGGCTTCATCCACCTGGAGTGACGGGGGCTGCAGCCGTTCTTAAGGTCTTGTTCTAAGCCCTCCGCCTTCCATGGGTTCAGGCCTCACTCAGAGGTCGCAGGGCCTGGCGGGTCAGCACGACGCCTGGCCCTGACCGAGCAGGACCCACTGGCACTGCTGAAACTCTCGGCTGGGTGGCCTCTGTGGAGACCCTGTCCCCTTTGACTCGAGTGAAACACTCTCACCTGGCGTCCTGGGTTCATGTTTCCTGTGTATGGTCATAGAAGCTGCATCTTCAGCCTTTGCCCATGGAGCCCCCACCGCCCTTTCCTGGCTCCTCAACGCCTCCCACGGGAAACGGGGAAATCGCTTGTGGGTTCACGCAGGTCAGGACGCGATCTCAGGCCCAGGATTTAGAGAGCCCCACGATCCCGCTGACTCAGAGTTCTGGGGAGGGCAGGCGTCAGAATGTGCCCTTCACAAACCCCGGCGGGTTCCCTCCTCCCAGTGAAAATAAGCTGGATTCCTGTTTATTTTTGAACGTAGCCTCTGTTCCTTCTGTACCAACGAATGCCTCCATTCCCTATGAAGAGGCAGATGAGCCTCCCCTGAAGCCCCCGAATCTTCCCATGCTGGACAGAGAAGGAAGGAAACGGCTCCCTCCTGACCCTCCCCAGCCGGCCCTGAGACCCCGAGCCTAGGATGCCCCCGAGCCTGGGATGCCCCCGAGCCTGGGATGTTCCCTGAGCCTGGGATGCCCCCAAGCCTGGGATGTTCCCCGAGCCTGGGATGTTCCCCGAGCCTGGGATGTCCCCGAGCCTGGGATGTCCCTGAGCCTGGGATGCACCTGCTTTCTTTAGGTCATTTTGGAGAATGTGCTGGCCATCAAATCCCTGGTCACCCTCCCTCCCAGGGGCTAACACTGCCCTGGGGGGACCCTTAATGGGACACGTGGAGCCGGTGCGTGGCTCAGGCCCTACGGCTGCTGGGAGGCGTGGTTTTGTGGTTGAGAACTGTAGGAATGTCCCTGATGTTATCGGTCAGATCCGTCCCCCATAGTTGTCTCCATCCTGAACCATAGAATGTCCCTGACGTGGTCAGTCAGATCCACCTCCTGAGGGGTCAGGGTCCTGAACCATAGAATGTCCCTGACGTGGTCGGTCAGATCTGCCTCCCCAGGGACTCACACCAGCCCCTTTTTCAAGAGAAGGAAGCGCCATTGTTGGTTTCTTTTTACACCAAGTTTTGAATTCAGGAGTGAAGTCCTAGTTATTAAATTTTTTAAAAGCACACAAAACATGTTTTAAATATTTCCCTTATTAAAGGCAAATGCGCCTGCCTGGCCACTCAGCACATTTTTTTAAAGTGTCCATGGGCAGATCAGCGGTCCCCTCATGTTCCTTCTGAAAGGAACGCGCTGTGGGTTCCTGTGCAGCCTGTCAGCCCTCCCCGGCCCAGATGCCAGTGCCTCTGTGGTGCCACTTCCCTGCAGGATTCGCAAGGGTAACAAAATCCCCAGCCTTCTGGAATCTTCTCCCTCCAGGGGGATGCCCCTGATGCCCACAGTGTGGTTAGGCCTGCCGAGTTTTAGCCCCCTGGGTAGGGCTGGCCACGTGTAACTGTGTGGTTTCAGGCCCGTGGGTAGGGCTGGCCACGCATGACTTCAGGTGTTTCAGGCCTATGAGTGGGTCCTGGCCATGAGGGACTGGGTTACCAGCCCTGTAGACTTGTTGCAGCCGGGGATGCTGTATGTCTGTCAGAATTTCACAGCCCCAGGTCTGAGGGGACACGTACCATCCCACACTAGGACAGAACATTAGTGGGAGCCGCTGCTGTGTTAGACATGAGCAGAAGCTTCACAATGCTGGGCCTGCGGTAGTCACGGAGATTCGTGGACCGTGCTGTGGTTTGTGGCCACAGTTCTCCCCCCGCTGTGGTGTGCATGGCCCCTGAATCCACTTTGTGCCCCTAGATCATGAGCAATCCATGGAGACAGGGTTCTACATTTGCCCGCCGTGCACAGACTGCTGGTGCTGGGCCTGTTGTGGGCAAAGGGGACAGATGGTGCTGGAGCTGAGAGTGGCAGCAGCCACATAGCTCCTGGGTGCACACAGCAACTCCTGGCTCCCTCCTGGCACAGAGCGACGCCTGGCTCCCTCCTGGCACAGAGCCTGGGGTCATGTAGCTCCTGGGTGCACGCAGCGACGCCCAGGCTCCCTCCTATGTAAGAGCCTGGGGTCATGTAGCTTCTGGGTGCACGCAGCGATGCCCAGGCTCCCTCCTATCTAAGAGCCTGGGTCTGAGTCCGGGCCCATGGCCTTCCGCCTTCCTCTGCCTGCCCATTACCACTGGGAGACACTCATCTTTATTCCAAAGCCACAGGCTGGTCTGACGTGTTTGAAACGTGCCCTGTGGGCTGAGCCTTGATGGAGACTCTGGGAGGCGCTGCAGGCTCCATTCTGCTCCTGGGGGAACAAAGCGTGGCCTGTCATCTTTGCTCCACACGGGCTGCCCGCCGTCAGCTAGAGCTGTCCTGATGCTGTTTTTCAGAGTTGACCTCTGGAATGCCAGTAACCTGAAGTTTGGAGATGAATTCCTGGGAGAACTAAGGATCCCGTTGAAAGTCCTGCGGCAGTCCAGCTCCTACGAGGCGTGGTAAGATGATGTTGCACCTGCAGACTTCCGCATCTCTGAGAGCCACAAAAACACGTGCTGCCTCTGAGTGGAAAGGCACAGAGGCCACATGTGCTGGTCCTCGGCTGTGCCCAGCACCCACCTGCTCTTACTTTGCATGTAGCTCTGACGAGCTCTGGCTTGATGAGTTTCTGCCCCACAGCAGGTGAGAAATGGCAGGTGAGGAGAGGCAGCAGGGATCACACTGAGCAGGGACTCACAATGGCTGGCACCTCAAAACAAGACAGGGAACGTGGGTGAAAGCGGCCCTAAGCCACGAGCAGCTCACGGGGTCTGATCCTGGGTGAAAGTGGGACCCTGAGCCGCGAGCAGCTCGCAGGGTCTGATCCTGGGCGAAAGTGGGACCCTGAGCTGTGAGCAGCTCGTGGGGTCTGATCCTGGGTGAAAGCGGGGCCCTGAGCCGCGAGCAGCTCGTGAGGTCTGACACCAGTAGGGGAGGGCATCAGCAGCCGGTGCAGGAGCCCAGAATGCGCACACAGCAGGGCTGCGCCGCGGCTGCGCTCCGGGTCTTGTTCTGGGCCCTCGGCAGCACCTCCTGTTGAGGGCGCATTACAGGGTTCTCTACTCCCCTCTGCACGTCTAGACCTCAGTGGTCGGCTCTGACCCAGAACCCACCCCAGGACATGTTGTGTGTTGCTGCCTCCTGCCTTTCTTTCCTGTTGTCTCCAGGTGCTTGGTGTTTTGGTGGAAGGAACAGGCCATTGTTTCATTTTATCTCCAGTTCATGTGTGTCCCTTAGCGACAGGCAGCTCCTGAGAGGGCCCGGAGTCACGGGAAGCGTGCACTCCCAGGCGTGGACTGTGTGCCGGGGCCTCGCACCCCATGTGTCCCTCTGCCATGTGTGAGGGCAGGTTTCCATCCCAGAAACCGTGAAACACGCGTGTCTTTTGATTCTACGAAGACGGCACGGGCACAGGCCCCCTGAGCTGAGTTAGGCTTCCTCCTATGCTGAATGAATCCCTGGCCCTGGTAGCCAAGGCAGCCACCACATACCCCAGAGAGCCCCAGGGTGCTAATGCCTCGCACACAGGCTCTACCTACCTGGGGCGATGGGGGGCGGCTAATGCCTCAGACACAGGCTCCACCCACCTGACCGGGGTTGCTAATGCCTCGGACACAGGCTCCACCCACCTGACAGGGCTGCTAATGCCTCGGACACAGGCTCCACCCACCTGGCGGGGGCTAATGCCTCGGACACAGGCTCCACCCACCTGACAGGGCTGCTAATGCCTCGGACACAGGCTCCACCCACCTGAGGGGGGCTAATGCCTCGGACACAGGCTCCACCCACCTGAGGGGGGCTAATGCCTCGGACACAGGCTCCACCCACCTGACAGGGCTGCTAATGCCTCGGACACAGGCTCCACCCACCTGGCGGGGGCTAATGCCTCGGACACAGGCTCCACCCACCTGGCGGGGGCTAATGCCTCGGACACAGGCTCCACCCACCTGACAGGGCTGCTAATGCCTCGGACACAGGCTCCACCCACCTGAGGGGGGCTAATGCCTCGGACACAGGCTCCACCCACCTGACAGGGCTGCTAATGCCTCGGACACAGGCTCCACCCACCTGAGGGGGGCTAATGCCTCGGACACAGGCTCCACCCACCTGACGGGGGCGCCAATGTCTCAGACACAGGCTCCACCCACCTGGCGGGGGCTAATGCCTCAGGCACAGGCTCTATCCATCTGAGGGGGGATCTAATGCCTCGGACACAGGCTCCACCTACCTGACAGGGGTGCTAATGTCTCGGACACGGGCTCCACCAACCTGACCGGGCTGCTAATGCTGCAGACAGGCTCCACCCACCTGACGGGGGCTAATGCCTTGGATACAGGCTCCACCCACCTGATGGGGGCGGGGCCTCGGACACAGGCTCCACCCACCTGAGAGCTTAGACTGCCTGGCCCACAAATGAGAGCAGAAGAGGGCTCCTGGGTGACTGCGTGGGGTAGAACCAAAGATGGAAGAATGTCCGGGCAGAAAACGTCTCTTACAATGACCAGGTGCCCAGGTGGCCTGCCAGGCTCACTAGCCCAAGGCCCCCACCCCGTGACATCGGGAGCCACGGCACACTTTGGTTGAGATAATTTTCATTTCCACCTGCTGCTGACACTGCTGGGTGTGGGTCTTAGGGCGGGTCACTGACCACTTCTGTGCCGGTTCCCGGAAACCCGTTCCTGCCACGTTCCACCCCCATCCCCCTCCGCGTTTCCCCCCTTGACTCCTGCGCCTTTGGCTCCAACACTTGCCTCCTGGGGATCCCCGGTGACCAGCCCTGCTGGGGGTCTTCGGTGGGGAGTCCCCAGGGGCTGCACTCTGAGGGGTCCTACAGGATCACCCTCCTGACCAGTCGACCTCAAGCAGGCAGCTGGGCTTCCCTGAGAGCTGCTCCTTGGCAGATGCAGCCTCATGCCTCCCCTCCATGTGTCCCTCCCACCCAGGTACTTCCTCCAGCCCCGGGACAATGGTAGCAAGAGCCTAAAGCCAGACGACCTGGGCTCCCTGCGGCTGAACGTGGTATACACGGAAGACCACGTGTTTTCTTCTGACTATTACAGCCCTCTGCGGGACCTGCTGTTGAAGTCTGCGGATGTGGAGGTGCTTGTCCACGCCGTGGCCTGTGGGTGTGGGCAGGAGGTGCCACCTGCCTGGGGCCCCACCCTACACCCGGGCCCACCCCAGAGGGCACCTTCTCCCTGAGGGGGCCTTTCCCACGCCTCCCAGCCTGGCCTGTTTCCCGTCCAGATGCCTGGACCCCTTTGCTGGGGGCACTGGTCCGTCGACAGTTAGAGCCGTGGGAGCCTGGTGATGCTAAGGACTCTCCGGGTTGTTCGAGGGGGACCCCATCATCAGAGTCCCTCTACCGGCTCAGGGGCCCTAGAGCTGGCTGCATGGGGGGGTCGCTAGAAGGAGGTGCAGATGCCCCTCCAAGGGTCCAGCCAAGCAGCAGCAAATGGGAAGTTTGGTGTTTTTGTGAATGTGTGTGTTTCTGTCTCAGCAAAGAGCCGTATCTATTGTGGCTGGAAGTGAGACCCCAGCCAAGGTGGGGACAGGCCTCTGGGGTTCCTGCACCCCGGGCCCTGGCACTGACCTCACCCCTCCCCGCAGCCCGTGTCAGCGTCTGCGGCCCACATCCTGGGCGAGGTTTGCCGGGAGAAGCAGGAGGCGGCCGTCCCGCTGGTGCGGCTCTTCCTACACTATGGCAGGGTGGTGCCATTCATCAGTGCCATCGCCAGCGCGGAGGTGAAGCGGACCCAGTGAGTGCCCACCCTGCCCCGGGGGAGAGCGGCCTGGACCCGCTACAGGGATGGCAAGGTCGTCGCCGAGAACCACGTGTCCTGGGGCAGGGCTTGAGGGAATTCAAGGGTCCCCAGAAACCATGTTGATTCAGGTTTTCTTTCACAGACCCAGTTAATGATTCTTTTTTTTTTTTTTGAAAGTCCCATTTGCCTTTGAAATCCCGGGTAGAGTGAGTGAGTGGGGAGGGGAAACGGCTCCTGGGGCTCGAGGACAGCTCAGGTCCCCTCCCTGGGGCACTTTGGGAGCCCACAAAAATGGAGCACAGCTTCCCTCAGGACCTGCCTAGTGCTGTTTCCGGACGCCCTGTTCTAGAAACATCTGGCTGCACCTGCAGCCACTGTAGCTGACAGGAGGGTTTGCTTCTCTGCTGGCCCTTGGATGCTGCCAGGGTCTGGTGCCCAACTCTCTGCACAGGCAGAGGCCGCAGAGGGGAGAGGGCGGGAGGGCGAAGGCCAGCCAGGCTCCTCCTGAGCTGGTGGCCACGCAGGTAGCCGAACGGTTCCCTCTGGCAGTGTTGACACAGGACGGTTCCATGGCCAGGGCCTCCAAGCACCTGGCCTGGTTGTGCTCCTTGTAAAATGTCAGGAAGCCGACTGATGGGCGTGCACTGACCTCACAGCCCACAGGCAGGTGCTCGGGGCCAGGCTCTGCTCCGTCTGCACTTCCGCGTCCCCAGGAGACAAACGCTGTCCCCATCGCCATTTCCCAGGGACCCCAACACCATCTTCCGAGGAAACTCACTGGCGTCCAAGTGCATCGACGAGACCATGAAGCTGGCGGGGATGCATTACCTGCATGTCACCCTGAAGCCCGCCATCGAGGAGGTGAGCACGGGGCCGAGAGTCCTCAGCCTCACGAGGCGTGGGGAGGATTTCCCCCAACAGAGGGCACTGCACTGGGATCCAGCCAGACCACGAGCTGGGCTTGAATGTCGGCCCCTCTGGCCTCGCCACGGGGATGCTGATTCATTCACTTTTATCAAGAGGATGTTCCCTGTGTACTCCAGAACCTTCCAAATTCTCCCAAATTAAAACTATACATAAGAAAATCCACCACTCCACAAAGGAGAACATGCAAGAAAAGCCTGGCTCTTCCCAGGGAGACCTTCTTTCTCCACATGTCCTGCAGTCCCCTGTGTTTGGGCCCTGGCTGCGTGGCATGTTTGAGCTGCACGCCCAGTCCTCACCCGACCCTCTGATGCCCGCACACCCACTCCTCACCTGACCCTCTGATGCCCGCCAGGCTGTGCCCCCCGTTTATGAGCGGGTTTGTAAACAGGTTCTTTGCAAATGTGAGAAAATTGAACATAGCATTCTGGTTTGCTCTGTGGGCAAAATCATGGCAGCATTTTGAAGTAAAAATATTATTAAAGCCCTGTGAGGCCTAGTCCGTGTGGGCTGGTGCACATCACTCCTGAGAAAGCCCGATTCGTCTGATCGCGGGCGCACATCGCTCCCTGAGAGAGCCCGGCTCGTCTGATCGCGGCCATGGACTGGGCCCCGTGCCTAGTGTTTGCGCCTGACCTCTCACTTGTCCCTCCGCAGCCAGTGACACAGGCCCAGGGTTGCCCCCTTGCAGCTGAGGCTCGGGACGACACCACCCCACGGTGGCCCTGCAGTCCGGCCTCACCGTGCCCCTCCGTGCCAGTGGCCGGGTTCGGGGAGCTGTCGTGGCATTTTCTGGATGAGGCTCAGGGTCTACATCTCAGCCAGGCCTGAGACCCCTTCCACCCTCCCTGCCTGTGCCCCCAGAACCCACTCACAGAGCCCTGTCTTAAACCTCTCCCCAGATATGCCAGAGCCACAAACCCTGTGAAATCGACCCTGTGAAGTTGAAAGACGGAGAAAACCTTGAAAACAACATGGTAGGTTTTGTTCATGAACCAACCAAAGCCAGTCACCTGCTTGGGGTTTTTCAGCCGATGGCTGCCTGGAAGCTCTGACTCACCCCGTGACCCCGGTTGGGGTGGGAGCAGGACCAGGCGTGGGGATACCCGCCTCACCCGGCTGCAGTACGCTGGCTGCACTACTGGGAGGCCTCAGCCACCACCTTTGGCCTGGCCTGTGTGCCGGGCTCTGCGTCCCCTGGGGGGTCCCGGCCAGCTCTTCCTCCCCTGGAGTGATCCGGTCTGCATGCCCCAGCTCTGCCCCCCCGGAGGGTCTGCCCTGCACACCCTGCTCTGCCTCCCCTGGACAATCCTGACCAGCTCTGCCTCCGCCCCGGCTCCTCCTTCCCTTGGGCAATGGCTCCTGCCCCTCCCTTTTCCTAGGACAGGATGGCCTCCCTGCCTCCCCAGGCTGTCCCCAGAGCTGTGTACTGCGTTTTAAAACAGCAAAACTCCCTGATGTTGAACTTGCTCCAACATTTTAGTCACTTCACATGATACTTCTTGCAGAGCGTGCTGTTTCGTCATTTCTGTATGTAAATGACAGAGCTCTTTGCCTTGGGCAGGCACATTCTAGTGAACGTCCATTCCCCACTCAGTAAACGAGGTCGGGGCCGAGCCGGGGAGCCGACGTGGTGCCTGTGTAGTGATTTTCACGCGTGAATTGCCACAGCTCCCAGCACAGATTTCCAGGGAGTGGCTGTTCACACGTGTCTCACTGCCGCAGCTGCCCTGCGCCCGCCCTCAGCCCCTCCCCACGCGCCCCTCCCTGGGCGTGCCCTGGTGCTACACGCACCTGTGGGCAGCCTCGGGAGTGGGTCCCAGTGCCGTGTCCCGTTGCAGGAGAACCTACGGCAGTATGTGGACCGCGTCTTCCACGCCATCACTGAGTCTGGGGTGAGCTGCCCGACCGTCATGTGTGACATCTTCTTCTCCCTCCGGGAGGCGGCGGCCAAGCGCTTCCAGGGTGAGTGCCCTGAACACCCTCATGTTGCTGAGAAACTGCCATAGCGCTGTGCAGGGTGACTCCCACCCAGGCAGAACCCCCCGCAGCCCTGGCTAGACTAGAACTGCGGGGTCGTGAACCCCAGTTCCGATGCTGGATTTTTCCGGGGTTTGTGCCCGGGCCAGTGTTCCCTAGTTCACAACCGCAGTGGTCTCTGGGGGACCCCAGCCCTGGAGTTCACCTCCACAGTAGTCTCCAGGGGACCCCAGCCCTGGAGATCACCACCGCAGTGGTCTCTAGAGGGGCCCAGCCCTGGAGTTCACGACCACAGTGGTCTCTGGGGGGGCCGGGAAGGGTGGCCAGGCTTTGTCGGGGTGGAATGTGAATTTTCCTGATGTGGACCCCTGGGTTTTCCCAGTGGTTTCTTTTTGTGGCCGACCCTGGCAGGGCCCAGAGTGGTGTTGGGGGCTCTGCCTGCCCGTGTCTTCGAAGAGACAGGACCCCTGGGGGAGCTGCCCTTTCTTCAAACCCCCAAGCCGGAGATCCCCTAGGGACCTGGGCATCCAGCACCCAAACCCCACTTCTCAACCTTGCCGACCCTCAGGGAGGAGCTGGGTGCCTGCACCCACCCATCACCTGCGATACTCAAGACCCCGCCAGGACTCAGGCTATGTATGGGGCGCTGAGAGGCTCAGCGAGGGCCTTGCTGCCGGCTCCTCTCTTCCTTGCGTGTCCTGTGGCCTCGGGACAGCTGCAGACACCCCGGGGTGGCCATGGTCCTGCAGAGCCGTCCACGCTTCTGTGTCCCCAGGAGACAAACGCTGTCCCCACCCCTGATTCTCAGGACATCAGACAGTCAGACAGCGCCGGCCGAGGGGCCCAGGGTTCTGGGGGAGGCAGTTCCCAAGCACATCCCAGCCCCAGACCCACTTTGAACAAGGTGGAAGTGAAGAGATAAAACACATCCTCTCACCCAGATGAGCACAGACCACTGTGGAATGAGACACCAAAGGGGCTGCGCTGTGTGGTGGTGATGAGAGATGGAGAGAAACAGGGAGAGATGGAGAGAGAGGCAGAGACAGAAGGAGAGAGACAGAGAGAGACAAGGAGAGAGAGAGAGAGACAGGGAGAGACGGAGAGAGAGGCAGAGACAGACGGAGAGAGAGGCAGAGACAGACGGAGAGAGAGATAGAGACGGAGAGAGAGAGATGGAGAGAGACAGAGACAGACGGAGAGAGATGGAGAGAGAGATCGAGACGGAGAGAGAGAGAGAGAGACAGAGAGATAGAGACAGGGAGAGAGAGACGGAGAGAGAGAGACAGAGAAAGAGAGAAAAAGAGAGAGACAGAGATAGGGAGAGAGACAGGGAGAGAGACAGAGAGATGGAGAGAGAGACAGACGGAGAGAAAGAGACGGGGAGAGAGAGATGGAGTTAGGGAGAGAGACAGAGAGGGAGAGAGACAGAGAGATGGAGAGAGAGAGAGAGAGCCAGAGACAGACGGACGGAGAGAGAGAGGGGGAGAGAGAGAGAGAGACAGAGATAGGGAGAGAGACAGGGAGAGGGACAAAGAGGGAGAGAGACAAAGAGATGGAGAGAGAGAGAGACAGATGGAGGGGGGGAGAGAGCCAGAGACGGAGAGAGAGAGAGAGAGACAGAGATAGGGAGAGAGACAGAGGGACAAAGAGAGGGAGAGAGACAGAGAGATGAGAGAGAGACAAATAGAGGGAGAGAGAGAGAGACAGAGATACGGAGAGAGACAGGGAGAGAGACAAAGGGGGAGAGACAGAGAGATGGAGAGAGAGAGGGAAACAGAGAGAGGGAGAGAGGGAAACAGAGAGAGGGAGAGAGACAGACACAGGTGGAGATAGAGCCAGGACTGTGGCTGGACTTCCCTGCGGACCCTCAGGGGGCCGGGGCATGGTGTCCCCACGAGGCCATTGTGCCCGAGGAAAACGGTCACCCTGCTTCTCTCTCCCGCAGATGACCCGGACGTCAGGTACACTGCAGTGAGCAGCTTCATCTTCCTGAGGTTCTTTGCGCCCGCCATTCTCTCCCCCAACCTCTTCCAGCTCACGCCGCACCACACGGTGAGTGACCGGCTGAGGGACCGAGGCTTTCTGAGCTGTCCTGCGACGCCGGCCTGGGTTGGGGCATCTGCGTGGCTGTAGGGGGCCGACCGTGTGGAGTGTGGAATGCGTGGGGAGTGTGTGAGGAATCAGGAGTGAGTGGGGAGTGTGTGTGGAATGAGGAGTGAGTGGGGAGTGTGTGTGGAATGGGGAGTGTTTGTGGAATGAGGAGTGTGTGGAGTGCGTGGACTGCGTGGGGAGTGTGGAAGGCATGTGGAATGGGGAGTGTGTGTGGAATGAGGAGTGAGTGGGGAGTGTGTGTGGAATGGGGAGTGTTTGTGGAATGAGGAGTGTGTGGAGTGCGTGGACTGCGTGGGGAGTGTGGAAGGCATGTGGAATGGGGAGTGTGTGTGGAATGAGTGAGTGGGGAGTGTGTGTGGAATGGGGAGTGTGTGTGGAATGAGGAGTGTGTGGAGTGCGTGGACAGTGTGTGGGGAGTGTGGAAGGCGTGTGGAATGGGGAGTGTGTGTGGAATGAGGAGTGAGTGGGGAGTGTGCGTGGAATGAGGAGTGTGTGTGGAATGGGGAGTGTGTGTGGAATGCATGGGGAGTGTGCATGGAATGAGGAGTGTGTGTGGAATGCGTGGGGAGTGTGTGTAATGAGTGAGTGGGGAGTGCGTTTGGAATGGGGAGTGTGTGTGGACGGTGCATGGGGAGTGGGGAGTGTGGAAGACGTGTGGAATGGGGAGTGTGTGTGGAGTGTGTGGACGGTGCACGGGGAGTGTGGAAGGTGTGTGGAATGGGGAGTGCGTGTGGAGTGTGTGTGGAGTGTGTGGACGGTGCGTGGGGAGTGCTGGTGGATGCGCTGGGTCCTGGAACGTCCTCGTTGCAGGTGGTTCACCGACCTATTTAAGCTGTGTACGTTCTGGGGGAGTCGAGACAGTGTCACAAAAGCAGTGGACGGTTTGTCCAGGGTTTTAGCTGCTGGTCACCGCCCTGCTCTCCTCCCCTGCCCATCACATATGGAGTATTGATGATCGGCGTATCATCCGTGTATTGAGTCAACAGATTCCTATTTAGCACTGATTTTCTCCAGGCCCCAATGTGGTTGCTGGGGCCGCAGCTCTCAGGGTACAGGGATCTGGGGTGACCGTGTTGCACGTGCGGGTGGCAGAGCTGGAAGGAGATGGCCAGGGCGAGAGGACGTGAGGGATTGCCCATTCCCCAGCACTTCTTTTTTTTTGAGACAGAGTCTTGCTCTGTCACCAGGCTGGCGTGCAGTGGTACCATCTCAGCTCACTGCAACCTCTGCCTCCTGGGTTCAAGCAATTCTCGTGCGTCAGCCTCCCTAGTAGCTTGGATTACAGACGTGCGCCACCACGCCCAGCTAATTTTGTATTTTTATTAGAGATGGGGTTTTACCATGTTGGCCAGGCTGGTCTCGAACTCCTGACCTCAAGTGATCTACCTGCCTCGGCCTCCCGAAGTGCTGGGATTACAGGCGTGAGCCACCAAGCCCGGCCCCCAGCACTTCTGAGTTGAACCTTCAAACCCTGTGAAGGCTGAGATGAGCCCCAGGCAGGGCCAGGAGACTCAGCACCCCGAGACTCAGCGCCCCAGAGCCATGACCCCACCTGATGCTTTCGACTTTGAGATGCACCCTGCACGCTGGGCCGAGAGAGTGGGTCACCGCGGTGCCGTCGGATGTTGCCTGCGGGATGGTCTCAGCAGCTCCTGAGACTGTGGGACGCCCACCCCCTCCAGTCCCATCTGCGTCGCTACCCCTGTTTCTCCGTAGCTCATGCACAAGCCACAGCAGCTCTGAGGTGACTCCTGCATTTCGTCCCCTCGATCTGGGACAGTCACAGCATTTCTGTGATGCTGACATAGACCTTTCTTGCTCCCGCCTCCCCAGGACCCCCAGACGTCCAGGACGCTGACATTGATCTCCAAGACCGTTCAGACCCTCGGCAGCCTGTCCAAGTCCAAATCTGTGAGTCCCTCTTCTTCATTTTCTCTTTTTAGGGACAACTGATTCTTTTCTCTCTTCAGAAAATACACGTGAAAAACCTCCCACATTTGAGAGAGTCGTAAGATAAAGATCAAGAATCAAAGCCGGCACCACATCCTCTCTTGAAACCCAGGACCTGAGCGTCCCCGTCCCGCTCACCTCTCCCCTCCTAAAGTGAACCCCTTGCCTTTTTCGGGAGCCTGTGGCTCGTCGCCGGCCCCGTGGCAGGAGCAGCATCTGACCTGTCAGGTGTGGGAAGCGGCTGAACAGGCCAGGCAGATGGCCTAACCTGGCGCCTCCTGGGCGTTGCGGTGCTGGAGGCTCCTCGTCACGCAGCCCCCTACTCCCCTCGCGGCCCCCTCCTCCCCACGCGGCCCCCTCCTCCCCACCTCCCCACGCGGCCCCCTCCTCCTCACATGGCCCCCTCCTCCCCATGCTGCACTACCTCCCCATGCAGCCCCCTCCTCCCCACTTCCCTCCCCACGCAGCCGCCTCCTCCCCACGTGGCGCTTCCTCCCCAAGCGGCCGCCTCCTCCCAACGTGGCGCTCCCCTCCCCACGCGGCCCCCTCCTCCCAGGGCCCCTCTCTCCCTGTGGATATGAACCTCCGTCCTCCATCCTCGTCCCTTCAGACTGGATCTGGTGCCACCAGGTCAGGAGTCCCTCAGGCATCTGCCCCATTTCCCCCTAAGAGCACCTTGTGTGTTTGAGGGGGTCAGAGCTGACGTTTGAGGCGTCCCGGGGGCAGTGCTCCTGGTGAGGCCCAAGGCTGTCTCTGCAGGGGCCAGGCCAGGGCAGTTCGATGCCTTCGGGCCCCCTCGGGGCTCCGTCTGGAGAGGGCTGGGCTGTGGTGCACAGATGCCCAGGCCTCCTGGTTCCCTGTTCTTGGTGGGGCCCAGGTAGAAATGAGGGCTTTGGGGAGCAGAGGCCCCCACTGGAGGAGCAGCCCGCTTGGGGCAAACGTTGGGTTTCTCTGAGTCCGAGTGAGTAAAAGATGTGCCACACTCGCAGGCAGGCCGAGGTGCACCGACCGCTCTTTCCCACCAGCCAGGCCCTGCGCTGTGGGCTGGAAACTCCATAACAGGCACTTGAGCCTCCTCCGAGGTCTGCACCAAACCCACCTCATTTCACAGCCAGGGAACTGTGCAGTGACCTCAGTGTGGAAACAACAGGAACTTGGGGTCGAGCCTCAGGAATGGTGGCTGCAAAGGCCCCCCCGAATCCCTGGGTGCCTCCACTTCCCCGTGTGATGGAGGTCCCTGCCCCCTCTTCCCACCTCAGAGCGGCCCTTATGCCCCACGGGCGAGAGATGGGCGTGGGGGCTCTGGGACCCTGGCCTATGACTCCAGGTTCCCAGGCAGCCACATCTGGGCCCCAACGTACCTCTTCATGAGCCTGGGACCCAGGTGTGAGGGACAGCCCGGGGCCAGGACGGAGTCACTGATGCCAAAGGGTGCTTGGAGACCTCACGGGCACTGGCAGGTCTGATGGTCTTCGTTGGCGCCTGAGCGATTTATGTGATTCGTCCTCCGGGCAGCCCTGCGGGCTCTCACTTGCCCGGTAACACCGGGTTCTTTGCCTGTTTATCGTCATTTAGGCTTGGACAGTTCTTGCCTCTAGCTTTTTCAGATTTGGGCCGTGAGCCGAGGTACTTCGGGCTGTCCTCGAGTGATCTCCGTTTCATTTTAGGCGAGTTTTAAGGAGTCCTACATGGCTACATTTTATGAATTCTTCAATGAGCAGAAATATGCTGATGCGGTGAAGAACGTAAGTATCGACTCACCCTCCGACCGCCCGTGTGCCGTGCTCAGGAGACGGAGTTCTCTTTTAAAATTGAGATAGAACCCACATGACACAGACTTGGCCATTAGCGATTTTAAACAATAAAGGCGTTCGGTGCATTCACAGCGCTGTCCAGACAGCCTTGTCCCAAGTCCTGGGACACCTCCTCCCACAGTTGGTAAACTCTTTGGCGTGACTGCCTTTGGGGCCAAAACGGGGCCCTCGCCCATCTTGTTCTGTGTCTGAGCCCCCCGAATGAGGGCGCGTCCCACCTCAGTGTGTGTGGTGGCCGGACTCACTCTAGGCTGCAGTCGTGGAGCCCTGGGGCTGCAGACTCAGTGTCAGGAACGCGGTGCGTGGGGAACATCCAGACCGCAGGGCTCTGCTCCTCCCCACAGTTAGGAACGCGGTGCGTGGGGAACATCCAGACCGCAGGGCTCTGCTCCTCCCCACAGTCAGGAACGCAGTGCGTGGGGAACATCCAGACCACAGGGCTCTGCTCCTCCCCACAGTCAGGAACGCGGTGCGTGGGGAACGTCCAGACCGCAGGGCTCTGCTCCTCCCCACAGTCAGGAACGCGGTGCGTGGGGAACGTCCAGACCGCAGGGCTCTGCTCCTCCCCACAGTCAGGAACGCGGTGCGTGGGGAACGTCCAGACCGCAGGGCTCTGCTCCTCCCCACAGTCAGGAACGCGGTGCGTGGGGAACGTCCAGACCGCAGGGCTCTGCTCCTCCCCACAGTCAGGAACGCGGTGCGTGGGGAACGTCCAGACCGCAGGGCTCTGCTCCTCCCCACAGTCAGGAACGCGGTGCGTGGGGGGAATATCCAGGCCCCAGGGCTCTGCTCCTCCCCACAGTCAGGAACGCGGTGCGTGGGGGCAACCTCCAGGCCCCAGGGCTCTGCTCCTCCCCACAGTCAGGAACGCGGTGCGTGGGGAACGTCCAGACCGCAGGGCTCTGCTCCTCCCCACAGTCAGGAACGCGGTGCGTGGGGAACGTCCAGACCGCAGGGCTCTGCTCCTCCCCACGGTCAGGAACGCGGTGTGTGGGGAACATCCAGACCGCAGGGCTCTGCTCCTCCCCACGGTCAGGAACGCGGTGCGTGGGGGGAATATCCAGGCCCCAGGGCTCTGCTCCTCCCCACAGTCAGGAACGCGGTGCGTGGGGGCAACCTCCAGGCCCCAGGGCTCTGCTCCTCCCCACAGTCAGGAACGCGGTGCGTGGGGGGAATATCCAGGCCCCAGGGCTCTGCTCCTCCCCACAGTCAGGAACGCGGTGCGTGGGGGCAACCTCCAGGCCCCAGGGCTCTGCTCCTCCCCACAGTCAGGAACGCGGTGCGTGGGGGGAATATCCAGGCCCCAGGGCTCTGCTCCTCCCCACAGTCAGGAACGCGGTGCGTGGGGGCAACCTCCAGGCCCCAGGGCTCTGCTCCTCCCCACAGTCAGGGATGCCTGAGCCTCCTCACTACCGGGACCCAGATTCCCTGCTTAGAGTCACCCCTGGGTGGCCTCTGGAGATGCAGGTTGATCCCCAGGTGTTGCCTGAGCCCGGCCTCTCACCTGAGATCTCTGTGGCAGTGCCGGGGCTGGGGTGGCACAGTGGGGAGCAGAGGCCCCACAGCCCTCGGGGAAGGACTCACTTGCCCAGATTCTGTCTCCACTGGTATTACAAAGGAGGCAGTAGCCGCCGACGCTGTTGTTATACAGAGAGCCGTGCACGTCAGATGTGTGGCTTCCTCCCGGTGACCTGATTTCTTCCAACTTTAGTTCTTGGATCTGATTTCGTCCTCGGGGAGAAGAGACCCCAAGAGTGTTGAGCAGCCCATCGTGCTTAAAGAAGGGTAAGGAGGGTAAGGTGGCGTCTGGCAGGGCAGGAGGGGAGAAGGGTAAGGTGGTGTCCAGCAGGGCAGGAGGGGAGAAGGGTAAGGTGGTGTCCGGCAGGGCAGGAGGGGAGAAGGGTAAGGTGGCGTCCAGCAGGGCAGGAGGGGAGAAGGGTAAGGTGGCGTCCGGCAGGGCAGGAGGGGGGAGAAGGGTAAGGTGGCGTCCGGCAGGGCAGGAGGGGAGAAGGGTAAGGTGGTGTCCGGCAGGGCAGGAGGGGGGCGGCAGGGCAGGAGGGGGGAGAAGGGTAAGGTGGCGTCCGGCAGGGCAGGAGGGGAGAAGGGTAAGGTGGCGTCCGGCAGGGCAGGAGGGGAGAAGGGTAAGGTGGTGTCCGGCAGGGCAGGAGTGGGGAGAAGGGTAAGGTGGTGTCCAGCAGGGCAGGAGGGGAGAAGGGTAAGGTGGCATCCGGCAGGGCAGGAGTGGGGAGAAGGGTAAGGTGGTGTCCGGCAGGGCAGGAGTGGGGAGAAGGGTAAGGTGGTGTCCAGCAGGGCAGGAGGGGAGAAGGGTAAGGTGGCATCCGGCAGGGCAGGAGTGGGGAGAAGGGTAAGGTGGCGTCCGGCAGGGCAGGAGGGGAGAAGGGTAAGGTGGTGTCCAGCAGGGCAGGAGGGGAGAAGGGTAAGGTGGCATCCGGCAGGGCAGGAGTGGGGAGAAGGGTAAGGTGGCGTCCGGCAGGGCAGGAGGGGAGAAGGGTAAGGTGGTGTCCAGCAGGGCAGGAGGGGAGAAGGGTAAGGTGGCATCCAGCAGGGCAGGAGTGGGGAGAAGGGTAAGGTGGCGTCCGGCAGGGCAGGAGGGGGGAGAAGGGTAAGGTGGCGTCCGGCAGGGCAGGAGGGGAGAAGGGTAAGGTGGTGTCCAGCAGGGCAGGAGGGGAGAAGGGTAAGGTGGCATCCGGCAGGGCAGGAGTGGGGAGAAGGGTAAGGTGGCGTCCAGCAGGGCAGGAGTGGGGAGAAGGGTAAGGTGGCGTCCGGCAGGGCAGGAGGGGGGAGAAGGGTAAGGTGGCGTCCGGCAGGGCAGGAGGGGAGAAGGGTAAGGTGGTGTCCAGCAGGGCAGGAGGGGAGAAGGGTAAGGTGGCATCCGGCAGGGCAGGAGTGGGGAGAAGGGTAAGGTGGCGTCCGGCAGGGCAGGAGTGGGGAGAAGGGTAAGGTGGCGTCCGGCAGGGCAGGAGGGGGGAGAAGGGTAAGGTGGCGTCCGGCAGGGCAGGAGGGGAGAAGGGTAAGGTGGTGTCCAGCAGGGCAGGAGGGGAGAAGGGTAAGGTGGCATCCGGCAGGGCAGGAGTGGGGAGAAGGGTAAGGTGGCGTCCGGCAGGGCAGGAGGGGAGAAGGGTAAGGTGGTGTCCAGCAGGGCAGGAGGGGAGAAGGGTAAGGTGGCATCCAGCAGGGCAGGAGTGGGGAGAAGGGTAAGGTGGCGTCCGGCAGGGCAGGAGGGGAGAAGGGTAAGGTGGCGTCCGGCAGGGCAGGAGGGGGGAGAAGGGTAAGGTGGCGTCCGGCAGGGCAGGAGGGGAGAAGGGTAAGGTGGCGTCCGGCAGGGCAGGAGGGGAGAAGGGTAAGGTGGCATCCAGCAGGGCAGGAGTGGGGAGAAGGGTAAGGTGGCGTCCGGCAGGGCAGGAGGGGGGAGAAGGGTAAGGTGGTGTCCGGCAGGGCAGGAGGGGAGAAGGGTAAGGTGGCGTCCGGCAGGGCAGGAGGGGAGAAGGGTAAGGTGGTGTCCGGCAGGGCAGGAGGGGGGAGAAGGGTAAGGTGGCATCCGGCAGGGCCGGAGGGGAGAAAGGGATGGGGGCCCCCAGTCCCCAGAGCACCCAGCACATTCCAGAAGATTCCCTAGTCGGGGGCAGCCTCCTCCCTTGCTGGCCAGCAGCCTTGTGATTTCTGTACCACTGGCCGTGTTGTCCACACCCGCACTTGGGGCTGGCCTTCCCTCCAGGCTCCCGAGGGCTCTTTGCTCAGGGAACCAGAGTCAGAGGGGACAGCCCTGGGGGTCTGGCCCCTGCGCCTTCAGCCTGGGACCCCTCTGCCACCTTCTCGGTGACCTTGGAGGGGGACGTCTGTGTCCCACAGCCACCCCGTGTTTCTGACACAGGCCTGTCCTCCCTCAACCTCCACCCAGAGGTCCCTGGAGCATCAGAGCCCATCAACCTTCCTTACATAACTGACACGTCTGCCCGTTTCCACCAACCCCGTCCTGTGGCCCGGCTCCCACTCCCGCTCGGGGCTTTGCTCTGCCTGGTGTGGACCATGTTCCTGTATTTTTTATGTGTTTGCCAACATGTCGGGCACAAGTGCAGTTGTATTGGATGGGGCTTCTCGTGAAACCGTCACCTGAACGGGCACTTTGTGCCCACTGAGTAATTTCTCATTCCTCTCCCGCTCCCACCTCCACCCTTCCGAGGCCTCAGTCTGTGATTCCGAATACGTGTCCCAGAGCGCCCCGCCCCTCCGTGTTTATCTCCTATGGACCAGTGAGAACATGGGGCGTTTGGCTTTTCGTCTCTGAGTCATCTCCCTTAAGATAACAACCTCTAGTTCCGTTCACGTTGCTGGAAAACATAAGATTTCCTTCCTCTTGATGGTGGAGTAGCATGTCGTGGTGTATTTATGCCACGTTTTCTTTATCCAGTCGTCCGTTGGTGGACACGTGGATTCCGTGTCTTTGCTGTTGTGAGTGGTTCAGCGGTAAACGTACGCATGCAGGTGTCTTTTTGGTAATTGCTCTTCCTTTGGGTGGGGCCTGGTGTGGGATTGCTGGATCGAATGGCAGCTCTGCCTTTAGCTTCTTGAGAAATCTCCGTGGGTTTCCTTAAGCGCTAATTTCCATTCCCCACAGCGTGCAAGCGCTCACGTCCTCCACAGCTCTGCAGCGTCTGTCATTTTTCCGTGTTTTATTTGATCCCAGCCATTCTGCCCGGCGTGAGCTGGGTTCAGGCGGCTCCATTCTGCCTGGCGTGAGCTGGGGTCGCAGGTGGCTTCGTTCTGCCTGGCGTGAGGTGGGGTCACAGGCAGCTCTGGCTCTCATTCCTCAGGTGATGAGCCACGCTGGGCTTTATATCGTATGCTTGTTGGCCATTTGTCTTCTGAAAAACGTCTATCCCCCTGTCCTTTGGCCACTTTTAAATTTTTTTTTAATTTTTATTTTTTTTGTTAAGTTGTTTGAGTTCCTTCTAAATTGTGGCTGTTAGTCCCCTGTTGGATCTGTGCTTTGCAAATATCCTCCCATTCTGCAGGTCGTCTGTTTGCTCTGTTGGTTATTTATTTTGCTGTGCAGAAGCTGTTTAGTTTAATTAAGTCCCATTTGTCTATTTTTGTGGATACTCTGTTAGAGCCATCTGCTGAAACCTGGATCATCTCTGGGTCACTGGTGGACCATACCCCAGTGGCATTACTTACATTGCTATTTTTCTTAAAATCACCTTCATTTAACTTAATCATATATTAACCAATAACATTTGCAATACACACATTTCATGTTAGAAATGCAAAATGTTTGTTCTTCGGTGCCATAAGGAAAAATTAGCATTTAGACAAAAAGTTCTTTCAGCGAGGCAATTTTTACTTTCTGCAGAAAGGGTGTCCCTGGCAGAAGGAGTAATGGCAAGGGCACACACAGAATAAAGAGACGCCAGAATATTTATTCCTTACGCACGAGGTTCCTGTTGTCGTGTCCTGTCCCCATTGCCTGGAGCCGGACCTCACAATCTAAATTAAGACCTGATTGGCTAATAATTTAAAACTTTTTTAAATAGGTAGAAAAATAATAATATGTTTAAATAAGGAAGGGGCATAGGCTGTGAGCTGGGACATGCCTATGAGTACGTCTAACACAATTGCCTTGGTTAAGGTACAAGGACACAGAATATATTACGAGCCTGTGGGCACGTCCAACAGCTACACAGGATAGAGCTTAACAAAGAGTTATTAGCACAAAGCAAGGAGGCTTGAAGGAAGTTAGTCTTTAAAAGAAACTATTATTTCTAACACTTATGATTTATTCTTTAACAAGAAGGGAAACTTTGAAGAGGAAACTTTTTACTTTCTACATTTCATAAATTCACAGCTTTCAAAGCAACAGATATTCATCCTGTAATCCCTAAAGCAACACAGGACACTCAGGGCTTGTGTGTCTGACGCCGAGAAGCTGCTGTAGATACAGGTTCAAGGACAGGCGCCTCCCAGGTGCCACCAGCCAGAGGTTCAAGGACAGGCGCCTCCCAGGTGCCCTGGATGCAGCTGAGGCTCCACCAGCTCCTTCCAGCAGCTGCACCACCTGCGACTCACACCAAGGTTTTGGTCCATCAGGCCCTCGAGTTTCCAGCCCCTGGATCAGCTTCTCCTCCGGCACCTCAGCTCTGTCACATCCCCAAACCTAGGGCCACCCTCGGTTGTGCAAGCATGGGCCGTCCTAGGGCCTCGGTTCTGCCATCTCAGCCCTTGGTGCCAAGTGTGTCTTGCCATGTTCGTCCATGTGTGGGGGTGGTGATGACCATGTTTCCTGAGGGCTCACCCTGTGCTGAGATGCTCCCACACCTCTGCCGTCTCTCAGGGCTGTGTGTGTCCTCACCCACTGGGACACAGGACTGGGGACGGGGCCTCTGCAGCGCAGCGTGTGTTTGCTGAGTTGAGTTGGCCGTGGCTGCGCGGGGCCGAGCTGCTTTCAGCCTGAGGCTTCCGGCTTAGCCGTGGCTCCTGCCTCCCCGTCCCACACGCGCGATGGGCCCGGTTAGAAAACCGACTCCTGGAGAGCCAGGCGCCCAGACCAGAGCTGTGCAGTGAGGAGCCACTGGCTTCTCTCCACTCAGTGCTGCCTTAACCTGGAAACTGCACATAAAATTCACATGCAGCCTCATCCACTGAAGGCCCTCAGAAAGTTGGGGTTCTTAAAAAAATCCTAAAGCCGAAAACATTTATAACAAGACTGCTACTCAAATCTAACTGCTACATGGTCCAGAGTCTTCTCAGAGGCGCCCTGTTGCCCTCAAGGAGGCCGGCATGTCGTGGAGCTCCCAGTCCCCCCCCAACCCCCGTCTGTGTAGGCCCCGCCCTGCGCATCCCACTGGGTCCTGCTGGTCCTCAACAGCCTCCTGGGCTGACTTCCTGCCTGTGAATCCCTGGAATGAACGGCGTTCGGCATCCACTGGTTGTGAACTGCGCTGTCCTGGCGGCTCCCAGCGCCCCGCCCTTTTCTCTCTTGAACAGCTCCCAGCAGCTTCCACACCCTCCGGTGTGCGTCCACAGCTCTCTGGCCACATCTGGCTGTGTTGCTGCTCAAAGCCCCTCTTTCCGATTTCTGAGTGCGCTTGTCGAGGTGCGTCTCCCCCGCCCACCTCCCCACTCTGTCTCTCCAGCTTGGCTTCTCGTCCTCAGCTTCCACCTCTGTCCTCCAGTCACTCTGTCTGGCCACTTTCTTCTCCTCCAGCTCGGCCGCCGGTTCTGGTCAGGGACCCCTGCCCGGCAATGAAGGCCGAGCCTCAGAGGGCCCTGGGCTGCCGGGAGGGTGTTCGAGGACCCTGCCCAGGGCAAGGCTTGAGGTCCTCCTCGCTGAGGCCTTGCATCCTCGGTGGCCATCCTGTCTCCTGCTCCCCACGTTTCCTGAGGACGTGGCCCAGTGGCGCCTTCTACCACAGCAGGGCTGGCCCTGAGGGGGCAGGTTTGGTCTGGCAGAGGCGCTGGTGCGTGACTCCCGCACAACACAGGTGTGGGTTTTGTGGGCGTCTGCTGCCTGCCCCGGCCCCAAGCCTGTGGCTGCAGGTCCTCTGAGTATGGGCGTCTGCTGCCCGCTCTGACCCCGAGCCCGCGGCCGCAGGTCCTCCGTGTGTGAGCGTCCGCTGCCTGCCCTGACCCCGAGCCCACGGCCGCAGGTCCTCCGTGTTGTGTGGGCATCCACTGCCCGCCCTGACCCCGAGCCTGTGGCCGTAGGTCCTCTGTGTTGTGTGGGCATCCACTGTCCGCCCTGACCCTGAGCCCGCGGCTGTAGGTCCTCTGTGTGTGAGCGTCCACTGCCTGCCCTGACCCCGAGCCCGCGCCTGTAGGTCCTCCATGTTGCGTGAGTGTCCACTGCCCACCCTGACCCCGAGCCCGCGGCCGTAGGTCCTCTGTGTGTGAGCGTCCACTGCCCGCCCTGACCCCGAGCCCGCGGCCGCGGGTCCTCCATGTTGTGTGGGCGTCCACTGCCCACCCTGATCCCAGGTCCGCGGCCGCAGGTCCTCCGTGTTGTGTGGGCGTCCGCTGCCCTCCCTGACCCTGAGCCCACGGCCGCAGGTCCGCCGTGGGAGCATCGCATTGGCATTTCCAGTGGCAGCACCACTGTTGAAAGTTCAGTGTGGGAGGCAGGAGGGTTGGAGATCTCCTAAAACCTGGTGCCATCACCAACTGGTGACTCAAAGCAGTCAGCGCTCAACTTTTCAAAGGAGAGGCATTGCCTTCCAATTTTAATCTCATCACTCGGAGTAAAATGATAAGATATTGAAAATCCACTGCCTGCCTCAGGTCTCAGAACGCAGAAAGTGGGGGGTGTGGTTTTTCACCTGTGCAGGGAGGCAGCTGAGGCCCGGACCCCGGCCCTGTGTGCTCTTCACACAGGTTCATGATCAAGAGGGCCCAAGGACGGAAGCGCTTTGGGATGAAGAATTTTAAGAAGAGATGGTTTCGCTTGACCAACCATGAATTTACCTACCACAAAAGCAAAGGTAAGGAGCAAGGTCGCTTTCCCTGGCTCTTGCTGGAGCGTGCTGGGCCCTGGGACTGAGTCTGCTTTTTCAGGGGGAGAGCTGAGGGGAGGAAGGATTCAGTGCTGCGGGCAGAGCCCGGGGCCGCGGTGACCCAGAGCCCTCTGCTTCTGGTTCTCCCTTCAAAGATCCCTGAAGGGGTCTTTCAGACCTGCTGCTGGAAAGTGAGGGAAATCTGCTTCCCCAGAGAACCAGTAAACGCAGAGCTGACCACATCAGTAAGGTGCTTTTCTGTCCACGTCCCTTCCTCCTCTGGTCGCCTCGTCATGGCCAGGGTGCCGCTCCGCCGAGGTAGACGGGGCTTCCCACCACCTCCTGCCCCTCGCTGTCAGATCTGCTGGCTCAGATCTAGATTAGGAAATATCTAGCAGTTTCTCCCATGTTCATGTCCCAGAACGGGAACATGTTCTGGGGACAGAGCCTGAGGCCACGGCAGCTGTGAGGATGCGAGCATTGGGCCCAGCCTGGGTGCATGGCAGGGCCAGGTGGGTCCCAGGCTTCCTCAGCCCCCGCACCTGCAGCCTGTCAGTGATTCAGCCATCATCCCCAAGGAGATGAACATGGGGCACCTCCTCCGGCCCAGGGCACCCCAGCAGAGACCCCCAGCTGGCAGAGACCCCCAGCAGAGACACCCCCAACAGAGACCCCCCCCAGCAGAGACCCTCCTGGCAGAGACCACCCCAACAGAGACCGCCCAGCAGAGACCCTCCTGGCAGAGACCCCCCCCCAGCAGAGAACCCCCCAGCAGAGACCCTCTAGCAGAGACCCTCCAGCAGAGACCCCCCGGTAGAGATCCCCTGACAGAGACCCCCCCAGCAGAGACCCCCCCCCAGCAGAGACCCCCCAGCAGAGACCCCCTGGCAGAGACCCCCCCCGGTAGAGACCCCCGGTAGAGACCCCTGGCAGAGACCCCCTGGCAGAGACCCCCCCAGCAGAGACCCCCGGTAGAGACCCCCTGGCAGAGACCCCCTGGCAGAGACCCCCCGGTAGAGACCCCCTGGCAGAGACCCCCCGGTAAAGACCCCCTGGGAGACCCCCCGGCAGAGACCCCTCAGCCCCACCCGGACCCCAGCCGGGACAGCGGGGCCCGCACCCACTGACAGTCCATCTCTGCTGCAGGGGACCAGCCTCTCTACAGCATTCCCATCGAGAACATCCTGGCAGTGGAGAAGCTGGAGGAGGAGTCTTTCAAAATGAAAAACGTGAGTGTGGGGCCCCCAAGCCTCTCTTTCGGGTTGAGGCCTGGCCAGGTTTTCTCTGCTCTCTTCCCGTACCTGGCCCTGGGCTCACCCTTCCCCACCCACTGCACTCCAGGCTTCTCAGAGTCTTCGTGTTACTCGGGTTGTTCACCAGGTGCTGGTGAGTTTGTGTCGGAATCTCGCATCAAAGCAGCCACACTCTCTGTGCCCGGGGTCACCGGGGTGGGGTGGAACCTGCCGGAAGGTGGGGCCTGAGCTGCTTCAGGTGGCGTCCCCCGCAGGGTCCCCAATGTCAAGGGGCCCTCTGTCAAAGACATCCCAGAAGCAGGCTTGGGACCGTCTGGAATTCCTTTTGGAAGCTTTTTTATTTTGATATAATTTTGAATTTATAGAAGTTGCACGAGTAGAACAAGTACTTTCCACACACCCTTGACCCAGACCCGTGTGTGGCCTCGTTCCCCGGTCACGCTTGACCCGGGCCCACGTGTGGCCTCGTTCCCCGGTCACGCTTGACCCGGACCCACATGTCGCCTCGTTCCCCAGTCACACTTGTTCCTTCTCCCTTCACGGTCCCGCCCGTGCTTTTCTGAATGTATCAACACTTCCAAGTGTGTTTCCCACCGTGCAGTCCCCAAAACCACAGCAGCCACCATCGCACGTCGCCGGCGCGACCACATTCGAGTTTGCCGCTGTCCAGTCCCGTTCTTCCGGCTGTGGTTCCTTCCCCTCTGGATCCAGTCTGCGCTGCATTCTGCTGCCCCCTCCGTCTGGCCCACTGGACACTCCCAGCCTTTCTTTGTGTGTGGTGGCCTTGGCATCTTTGAGGCGTGCAGGCCTTCGGTTTTCTGGACATCCCTCCCTGTGGGTTTGTCGGATGTGCCGACGTGGCAGGTTCTGATGATGCATTTCTGGCGGGAATCCCCTAGAGGTGTCCGTGGCGTCACCATTGTGTGGTGGCCTCCCAGAGTCGGCCGCTGGCCACGTTCTCCCTGGTGACTCAGTGCCCCTTCAGCCAGTGACCCCGCCGTCCGTGCCATCCTGAGGCTGACCCCGTACCCTGACACATGCTGGCTGGGACAAGCCTTCTGTGCCCCGACTGCAGCATGAGGGTCATAGAACAGTTGCAGGGAAGGCACAGTCCCTGGGCCTCGTGCCAAAGTTGACGCATGTTCCTTACCATTGGCAGAATTTTACTAGCATGTTATTCACAGGCAGTCCAGACAGATCCTGCAAAAGGCATAAGTTTGGAGAGTAATTTGAAGAGGAGGGCATGGGAAGAGGAGGGCTGGGAAGAGGAGGGCTGGGAAGAGAAGGGTTGGGAAGAGGGGGAGATGGGAAGAGGAGGGTGTGGGCTCAATGCCTGCTGACTGAGGGGGATGGCCGGAACCTGGCCCTGAGACCGTCCCTCGAAGGAAGCAGTGTGGACATGTCCTGGAAGCACCTCCAGCCCTTCACATAGATTCCCAATAATTCCCTAGTTTCAGCCGCCTGTTCCCAGCTGTTCATTCCCACTGACTTCCTCAGAGCCCGATTCCCCTGAGGCCACTGCCAGGCCAGGCTCTCACCAGCTGGGGAGACCTTTCTGAAGGCTGCTCCTGGTGGCAGGGCCGAGCCTGGGATGATGGCCAGGACGCCCTCCATGGGGGATCACAGCCATGCACGGGGGCGTCCAGTCCGAGACCTATACACATGTGCCGGGTGCAAGGCGGGAGGCTCCTGGCCTCTGTAAATAAGACCTCAGCTGTTCACCAGAAACCTGGAGCCCAAATCCTCCCCAGATGAGTGCAGAAGGCCCGTCCCCTAGAGAAGGCCACTGTCCCCCTGACTCCTGACTTAAGGGCAAGTCCCACATGAGAGCCCTCCCAACCTCCAGTCAGTCTCCTACTCAGAAAACCTGTCTTCTGTGTGCAACAGAGCCGGCTCCTTCTGGGAGCTTCTGACCTCCAATCCTAGGATATCTGTCCCCCCTGCCCCAGCACCCCCGTCCCTCTAATCCTAAGGCTTCTGTCACTCCTGCCCCGGGAGACCTGTCCCTCCAATCACAGGACCCCTGTCCCACCTGCCCCAGGACCTTTGTGCCTCCCATTTCTTCTGCCTTTGACACCCTTTGCCCCCACCCCCTGCTTAACTAACTTTGAGTCAACGCCGACTACAGCACCAGGACTGCTCACTTCCAGCTTCTGCTGACACCTGCCCTCGTTTAGTCTTTCTTGGTGGCTGCAGGTTCAGTAGAAACTCTATGCCAGGCTTTGTCTCCGGGACATAGGAGAGTGCTGGTGCTCAGTCATGTTTGTTGAATGAGTAATAAATGGTAAAGGTTGTTGCTGCCCCGAGACGCTTCAAGAGGAAGCAGCCCCCTAACCCCAGCTGGGAGGAGGAGGAAGAATCCTGGGCTGGTCAGTTGGGGAAGGAGCTGAGCAGGCCGGGCCACCTGGGCTGACACAGCACGAGCACCACGTGGATGGGATGCCTGCAGTCAGCTGCAGGAGGGCCTTGTGGGGAGGCCACAGGGCCCCTCTTTTGTCTTGAATGGAGACCTCCAAGGCTCCAGGACATAAAGGGCCTTGGCCAAGCTGTTCCTGGCCACCTGGCCACATCTCCAGCTGCACCAGTTCTCACCTCCATTCCCCACGGCCCCAGCTGTCAGGTTTTAGGGTGGCAGAGAGCTCCATGCACCCCCTGGCCTTGGCCTCTTCTGGGGCTTAGAGCTCCAGGACTTTTGGGCCTGTGCACCCTCAGCGTCCCCTCTTACGACTCCGGCGAGGACGGCCAGGTGCCTGGTGGACTCTTGCACGTGCTCAGCCACGAGACCTCATGTGCGCTGTCCTGAGCCCACCTGTGTCCTCAGATGTTCCAGGTCATCCAGCCAGAGCGTGCGCTGTACATCCAGGCCAACAACTGCGTGGAGGCCAAGGACTGGATCGACATTCTCACCAAAGTGAGCCAGTGCAACCAGAAGCGCCTCACCGTCTACCACCCGTCCGCCTACCTGAGCGGCCACTGGCTGTGCTGTAGGGCGCCATCCGACTCGGCTCCGGGCTGCTCGCCCTGCACTGGGTAGGTCTGTGCCTCGGTGCCCAGCTCGTGCACTGTGCAGGAAATGTGGCCAAGGGGCTGAGTAGGGAGGGACCAGCAGACAGTGCATGCCTGCCTGTAAGCTGCACATAAACAGGGCTGCCCTCGCCTCCTCCCAGGAGCCTCCCACCCGAGGGGTCCTCCCTCGAGGGAGCATCTGGGGCCCAGCCTCTGGAAGGCTCTGCGCAGACTCCAGGGTGCCACAGGCCTTCGAGGGTCTTCCTGAGGCCCTGCCCCGGGGGAGCGGGAGGTCAGGGTGAAGGGGGACTCCCCAGGCCGTGGCCATCCTGCTTCTCTAGGAGGAGGCTGGGAGCAAGCCCCTCCCTGAAAGCTTCGTCTGGCCCAGGACACCCACCTTGATTCCACATGACGCAGCAGCCCGTTGTCTTCCCGGCCCCCCATCAGCCGGGTCCCCATCAGCCGGGCCCCCCATCAGCCGGGCCCCCCATCAGCCGGGCCCCCCCATCAGCCGGGCCCCCCCATCAGCCGGGTCCCCCATCAGCCGGGCCTCCCCATCAGCCGGGCCTCCCCATCAGCCGGGTCCCCCATCAGCCGGGCCCCCCATTAGCCGGGCCCCCCCATTAGCCGGGCCCCCCATCAGCCGGGTCCCCCATCAGCCGGGCCTCCCCATCAGCCGGGCCTCCCCATCAGCCGGGCCCCCCGTCAGCCGGGCCCCCCGTCAGCCGGGCCCCCCGTCAGCCGGACCCCCATCAGCCGGACCCCCCGTCAGCCGGGCCCCCCGTCAGCCGGGCCCCCGTCAGCCGGGCCCCCGTCAGCCGGGCCCCCCATCAGCTGGGTCCTCCGTCAGCCAGCCCCCCATCAGCCGGGCCCCCATCAGCTGGGTCCTCCGTCAGCTGGGCCCCCCGTCAGCTGGGCCCCCTGTCAGGCCCCCCATCAGCAGGGCCCCCCATCAGCCGGGCCTCTGGCAGTTGCACAGAGGCTTGGGTCATATCTGCCGGTCCTAAGGAGGAGGCCTGGGTGCCTGGCGGTCCCCCTGGTTATGCTCCGTGAGATGCACCTCGCTGTTGTTGTGGCCACGTGATGCTTTCGCATAAGGGCCCTGCAGGGGATGAGCTGTGCTCCATGCTGGGCCACCGTTTAATCCTCCCACAGCCTCAGAGGTGGGACCTTAGATCCTGCTTCGTGGACACAGAGGCTGAAGCTCAGGAAGGGGGCCTGGCTGCTGCTCAGGCATGCGTGGCCACCGCCCCAGAATCCCCCAGGAGAGGCCAGCGCTCTCCCATGTCCTCGCATCCCAGGACAGCGGGAAGCATTGCAGCCTGACGAGGAGAGAAAACCTGGCCTGTCCCCACCCGCAGCCGACCGTGCAGGGAACACAGTCCCAGGAGGCTTCCTTCCAGGCCATTTATCTCCATGAGAACACGTCTGCCGAGTTTGCTCACTGCCTTGGCAGATCTGTGGGTCCCAAGAGGCTCCAGCCGCTGAGGCCGGACAGCTCGGGAGCCTCCCCTATCCCGCACACCCACAGCCAGCCTCAGTTCTCCCAGCTCGGGGATGCTTTTTTAGTTTTATGTCTTTGAGATGGGATCTCGTTCTGTCACCCGGGCTGGAGTACAGTGGTGCAATCTCAGCTCACTGCAGCCTCGACCTCCTAGGCTCAAGCCATCCTCCCACCTCAGCCTCCCAGGTACCTGGGACTACAGGTGTGCTCCACCATTCCAGGCTAATTGTTTTAAGGTTTTTTGTAGAAACGGGGTTTCACCACGTTGCCCAGACTGGTCTCAAACTTCTGGGCTCAAGCAGTCCTCCCACTTCACTCTCCCAAGTAGCTGGGATTACAGGCTGATGCCACCAGCCCAGCTCATTAAATTTTGGTTTTTTGTAGAGACGGGGTCTCACTATGTTGCCAGGTCTCACTGTGAGGGTCTCTCCATGTTGCCCAGGGTGGTGTTGCTCAAACTCCTGGGCTCAAGCGATCCTTCTTGCCTCGGCCTCCCAGAGTGCTGGGATTACCCACATGAACTCCCTGACTGGCCAGGGATGTGTTTTAATGTTGGTCACTTCATCTTCTTTCTTCTTTTTTTTATGATAAATGCATTTCATTATTTATTTAGATGTTTAAGCTCTCACTGCAAAGTTTTTACAAGCTGTTGAAGACTGACAAATTATTTCTCACACAGAACTATAACCACCCATCCCCAGACAGCATAAATATATGGTTGAACATGAATAAGTGACACAATTTTATCAATTACCTAATAAAACAAATGACCAAGTATCCAAATACTGAGCTACTCAGCTCAAAAGGCATATACAGTATTGACATCTGATCAGTTCATTAGCAGAAACCCACTTCTTTTTTTACAAGAGAAGTTGGGAAGAAAAGGGAAAAACTGTCATACTTCAAACAAAAATAAGTTGGAAACAATTTCTAATCAGTATGGAAAAAATTACAGACGTTTCAGAAATTTTATGATTTAAGAATTGTTTTAGCTATAATAAGCATTTCTGCCTTTTAAAAAGTATTTACTAAATTAAAGAGCATATTTCACACGTTCTGCACAAGGCAGCATTTTGCTAAAAATAACAGCCCCGCGCGTTCCTATCAGGCCCTCCCTGTTGGTTGCACCTGCGTGCAAATGTGAAATTAACCGTGAGGCCACTTTGTCTGAAGCCATCAAAGACGTGCTTCTGTACAATGTAGATTTTCTTTTCTTTTCTTTTTTTTTTTTTTTTTTTTTTTTTAGGCAGAGTCTCGCTCTGTTGCCCAGGCTGAAGTGCAGTGGTGTGATTTCGGCTCACTGCAACCTCCACCTTCCAGGTTCAAGCGATTCTCCTGCCTCAGCCTCCCAGGCAGCTGGGATTATAGGTGTGCACCACCACACCTGGCTAATTTTTGTATTTTTAATAGAGACAGGGTCTCACCATGTTGGCCAGGATGGTCTTGAACTCCTGACTTCAGATGATCCACCTGCCTCGGCCTCCCAAAAGTGTGGGGACTACAGGTGTGAGCCACCACACCCGGCTATGGAGGTTTTTCATAATAACACAAAGTAAGATTTATAAAAAGACATGAGGCCGGGCTCAGTGGCTCACGCCTGTAATCCTAGCACTTTGGGAGGTCGAGGTGGGTGGATCACCTGAGCTCAGGAGTTCAAGACCAGCCTGGCCAACATGGTGAAACCCCATCTCTACTAAAAATACAAAAATTAGCCAGGCGTGGTGGTGTGTGCCTATAATCCCAGCTACTCAGGAGGCTGAGGCAAGAGAATCGCTTAAACCCAGAAAGCGTAGGTTTCAGTGAGCTGAGATCGTGCCACCGCGCTCCAGCCTGACGTGTGCTGGTGTGAACATAGGAGAAGCAGACATAGAATGAGCAGGGAAACAAGCACACAGCCTCCTTCTGTGTTTGAAATGACTGAAGGAATAAACCACATGAGGTCTGGAGTGTTCATAGTTCCTGGGAATTGAGTTCTGTATGATACTAAAAATGTACAAGTATTACATATTACACTGGGGATTTTAGCACCTAGTCTTCCTAAATTTCTTATGTATTGATAAGATTCTGGAGTAGGAATAGATTTAAACAAGACATAACTCAGTACTGCGTGATTTCAGGAAAGGTCAGTTAGTACAAATGATAAGCACATTTTAAATACTAAACAGCAAGGATCTTTTGCCACGTGTCCAAATAGGCCAATGGTAACTGAAGCAGAGGTTGCTAGTTAGTTCCGGTTTGCAGCCTGGTGACACTGCTGTCCGTGCTGCTGTGGACGCTGTCAGCCTTGCTCAGCAAGCCAACACACCGGCTGTGCACAGACGGACAGCAAATCGATCCTGTCGAATTTCACTTCCAACACAATCGTTGTCTTTCTTCAGTGACATTTTAAAAATGAATGTCATTATTAAAAGCATCGTTTAAATAAGTGTTTTTATCTTTCTGTTCTTGCTGTGTCTGGACAGCGGCCTCCCAGCCAACATCCAGCTGGACATTGATGGGGACCGTGAGACGGAGCGTATCTACTCCCTCTTCAACTTGTACATGAGCAAGCTGGAGAAGATGCAGGGTGAGTCTGCCCGGCACACAGATCTGTGCAGCGAGGGGATGGCTGGCGAGGCCCCGGCCTCAGGAGCATGCTGTGGGGTGAAAACCTGTGGTCTGAGCCTCTGGTGTAGTGTGGGCTACATGTAGTTGTCTTTGTAGCACGGATGGATGCGAAAAGCTTTTTGCAGGGTAGGCAGCTATCTGGGGGACAATTACCTGTATAATAGGTTCTATAGATAATTTTTAGATGGAATTTAACTTGTAACCTCTGTACTGCCAAGTTTCTTTAGAGGACCTATTTTTTCATTCCTTTGTTTTCCAGAGGGATAAGTGCATGTGTGTGGACACGTATGTGAGTGTGCTTGCATGTGTGCGGACACACGTATGAGATGTGTGCATATGTGTAGGCATGTGTGAGCGTGTGAATGTGGACATGTGTGAGCGTGTGTGAATGTGTGGACATGACATGTATGAGTGTGGATGTGTGAATGTGGACATGTGTGAGCATGTGTGAATGTGTGGACACGTGTGAGTGCATGAATGGACGTGTGTGAGTGTGTGTGAATGTATGGACATGACATGTATGAGAGTGAATGTGTGGGTACATGTGTGAGCATGTGTGTGTGGGGACACGTGAGCATGCATGAATTTGTGCATGTGTGGAAACATGAGGGCACGTGTGAGTATGCATGTATGTCTTTGGGCACATGTGTCAGCATGCATATATGTGGGTACACACATGCCATCTAATTCTGTAAAGCAATTCAATGTCACAGATAACGATACTGCATATATATTTGAAACAGTGCCAGGCACACCGTGTGTTTCAAATCTATATGCAGTATGTATCATTATCTGTGACATTGAATTGCTTTACAGAATTGAAATAGCAATCCAGATAAGCCCAGTTAGACCACATGGGGACAGTGGTTTGAGGTCTGTGATTCAGGAGAGGCAGAGACAAGAAAAGCCCACGGGGGTGAAGCAGCTGCGTTTGTTTCTATGCCAGTGTCTGGTAGAACTCGGATCTGCTCTTGGAGATCATATGACAGGGCCCTTGAGTCCCACTCAGAATGGAAATAGAGCGGAATGTGCCTGGAGTTATGCCTGTTAGATTTTCTTCTTTTCATTCCCCTGATTTAACCCAGAAGTGTCAAGTGTGCCTTGGCCTGGAAACACATGAGTCCTGCCTGAGTGTCCATGCAGCTGCCCATCTGTGAGCTTGGCCACGCCTGTTCTCCAGCCCCACACGCCCTGGGTGTCCGCGCAGCTGCCCATCTGTGAGCTTGGCCACGCCTGTTCTCCAGCCCCGCATGCCCTGGGTGTCCGCACAGCTGCCCATCTGTGAGCTTGGCCACGCCTGATCTCCAGCCCCACATGCCCTGGGTGTCCGTGCAGCTGCCCATCTGTGAGCTTGGCCACGCCTGTTCTCCAGCCCCACATGCCCTGGGTGTCCGCACAGCTGCCCATCTGTGAGCTTGGCCACGCCTGATCTCCAGCCCCACATGCCCTGGGTGTCCGTGCAGCTGCCCATCTGTGAGCTTGGCCACGCCTGTTCTCCAGCCCCACATGCCCTGGGTGTACGTGGGTTCCAGGCCTACACTAACACACAGGCACATACACATGTATGCATAGCCATGTACACACATGTTCCCAGCAATACATGTGTGAAATGAACATACAGGTACATGTGTGTGCAGACAGGCAAGGCAACAATACCTGCACACATGTGCAGTTGAACACAACACGCTCACATGTGCAGGCCCATGTGCAGGCATGCACACACATGTGCAGACAACCACACATGTACACACTCATGGGCCACCACCCACCACAGCGTCTTCTCCCCCAGCAAGTGTGCGAGGTGCTGTCCCTGGGTCTGAGGTCCCTGGATACTGTGAAGATGGCACAAGGCCTCAGGGTGGCCAAGACAGTGGGTCTGGCATCAGCCAGCCTCTTCCCAGCCCTCTCATAGCAGGAACCGACACAGCAGAGGCCAGAGTCAGGGAGCCTCGGAGAGGGTGAGGTCATCACACACAAGACCCAGGTTCTGAAAGATGCTGACCAGGCCCTCCATGATCAGCTTGCTCCCTGCACCACTGTCCAACCTTGCTCAGCTCCTCCTAGGCCGTGCGCCCCGCATCACAGCTCCAGCTCTTCCTCTGCTGGGAACACCCTTGCGCATCAGGCTGGCAGACCCTGTTTACCTTGGAAGTGTCTTCCTCCAGGCGCTTCCCAACCTCACCATCCCCATAGCCTGGTGTATTAGTTCTCATGTTGCTATAAAGAAAAGAAGATTGATTGACTCACAGTTCTGCAGGCTGTACAGGAAGCATGGTTGGGGAGGCCTCAGGAAACTTTCGATCATGGTGGGAGGGCAAAGAGGAAGGAAGGAGGCACCTCCTACATGCAGGAGCAAGAGAGAGAGATGGGGGTAGATGCCACACACGTCCAAACAACCAGACCTCGTGAGAACTCACTATCACGAGAACAGCAATGGGGAAGTCTGTCCCCATGATCCCCTCTCCTTCCTCCAGGCCCCTCCTCCAACACTAGGGATTACAGTCTGACCTGAGATTTGGGTGGGGACACAAATCCAAACCACATCACCTGGGCTCACCTGTGTCACCAAAGTCACAACCATCTCCCATCTCCTCAGCTTCCATATGCAGTGACCTTCCTGGGCCTGGCACAGAGGAAGTGCCTAGCACCTGGATGGGTGTGCTGGACAGATGGCGGGGCAGGCAGCTGAGTGGGTGGGTAGATGGGTGGATGGACGGTTGGGTGAGAGATGGGTGGATGGAAGGATGGGTGAGTGACGGGTGGATGGATGGATGGATGGGTAGATGGGTGGATGGACAGATGGGTGAGTGATGGATGGATGGACAGGGTGAGTGATGAGAGGATGGACTGGGGTGAGTGATGGGTGGATAGATGGATGAGTGATGGGTGGATGGAAGGATGGGTGAGTGATGGTGGATGGACGGATGGGTGAGTGATGGGTGGATGGAAGCATGGGTGAGTGATGGTGGATGGACAGATGGGTGAGTGACGGGTGGATGGACGGATGGGTGAGAGATGGGTGGATGGAAGGATGGGTGAGTGATGGATGGACGGATGGGTGAGTGATGGGTGGATGGACAGATGGTGAGAGATGGGTGGATGGAAGGATGGGTGAGTGATGGGTGGATGAACAGATGGGTGAGTAATGGGTGGATGGACGGATGGGTGAGTGATGGGTGGATGGACAGATGGGTGAGAGATGGGTGGATGGATGGATGGGTAGATGGGTGGATGAACAGATGGGTGAGTGATGGGTGGAGGACAGGGTGAGTGATGAGAGGATGGACCGAGGGTTGAGTGATGGGTGGATGGACAGATGGGTGAGTGATGGTGATGGACAGATGGGTGAGTGATCGGTGGACTGACAGATGGGTGAGTGATGGTGATGGACAGATGGGTGAGTGATGGGTGGACTGACAGATGGGTGAGTGATGGGTGGATGGGCCGATGGGTGAGTGATGGGTGTACGGACAGGGTGAGTGATGGGTGTACGGACAGGGTGAGTGATGGGTGGATGGACAGATGGGCGAGTGATGGGTGGATGGACAGATGGGTGAGTGATGGGCAGATGGACCAATGGGTGACTGATGGGTGGATGGAGCAATGGACGAGTGATGGGTGGATTAACAGATGGTTGAGTGATGGGTGGATGGGCAGATGGGTGAGTGTTAGGTTCATGGACCAAAGGGTGAGTGATGGGTGGATGGATGGATGGGTGGGTCAGTGATGGGTGGATGGATGGATGGGTGAGTAATGGGTGGATGGACAGATGGGTGAGTGATGGATGGATGGACAGGGTGAGTGATGAGAGGATGGACTGGGGTGAGTGATGGGTGGATAGACAGATGGATGAGTGATGGGTGGATGGAAGGATGGGTGAGTGATGGTGGATGGATGGATGGGTGAGTGATAGGTGGATGGACAGATGGGTGAGTGTTAGGTTCATGGACCAAAGGGTGAGTGATGGGTGGATGGATGGATGGGTGGGTGAGTGATGGGTGGATGGATGGATGGGTGAGTAATGGGTGGATGGACGGATGGGTGAGTGATGGGTGGATGGACGGATGGGTGAGTGATGGGTGGATGGACAGATGGATGAGTGTTGAGTTCATGGACAAAGGGGTGAGTGATGGGTGGATTGACAGATGGGTGAGTGATGAATGGGTGGACGGATGGGTGAGTGATGGGTGGATGGACAGATGGGTGAGTAATGGATGGATGGACAGATGGGTGAGTGATGGATGGACAGATGGGTGAGTGATGGATGGACTGAGGGGTGAGTGATGGGTGGATGGACCGAGGAGTGAGTGATGATGGGTGGATCGACAGATGGGTGAGTCATGGGTGGATGGATGGATGGGTGAGTGATGGGTGGAGGGATGGATGGGTGAGTAATGGGTAGATGGACAGATGGGTGGATGGACGGATGGGTGAGTGATGGCTGGGTGGACAGATTCCTTATTGCGATTTTTTTTCTAGTTATTGCCAGTTTTATTTTTTAATCAATATTCCAGCTGAGAATTTTGCATCTGATACATGGTCCATGGACTCATTCTGGGTGAGAGTGGCATTCTGATGGCCCTACCCACTTCAGGGTCCTTCTTCCCTCGTCTTGAAGAATGGCACATGTTCACAGCTGAATAGCTCTATGGCCTGGCTTGTAGGGCTTAAGACACCGCAGCCTGCCTTCATTTCATCCTGTTTTCTCTGTTTCCTGGTTTCTTCTGGCAGTGCCTCTGCTGGTGCGGTTCCTTCTCTGCTCCCGGCTGTTGCTGAGATGGTTGGTCAAGTCCAAGGCTCAGCCCCACACTTGTCTCCTTATCAGATAGCCACACAGCCACCTGCTTAATGGTCTCTTCCAAACATGCTGTCTCATTTTTTTTGAGATATGGGTAGGCTGGAATTTTAATTCTCAAATCTTTTAACTCAACCAGCCTTTGAGTTCTGGTTCCTTTTTGCTCAACAATTCCACCTTCAAATCATCTCTCTTCCCCCATTTTGCTGTCAGCGGTCAGGAGGAACCAAGCCGCTCCCACAGCATTTTGCTTAGAAATCTCCTCAATTGCGTGTCTGATGTCATCACTCGCGAGTTCCACCCTCCCAGAACACGAGGGCATGAACACAGGTCCACTTTGTCACGAGGATGGCTTTTTCTCCACGGTCCAGTAGCATGGCCGTCCTTTCTGTCTGAGATGTTGTTAGAACAGCCTTGCCACCCATGCTCATGCCACCATTCTGTTCAGGGTTACTTAGATATCCCCTAAGACAGGACTTCTCTGCAGCTCTCCTCTCCCGAGCCCCCAGCATTGTCCTTTAAGGACATTCATGGCAGCCATGCCTTTTCCGCTCTGCACCCCCAAACCCCTTCAGCCTTCGCCCAGCACCCAGTTCCAAAGCCAGTCCACATTTGAAGGTACAGCAGCAGCCACTTCTCAGTACCAAGTTCTTGGTGAGTTTGGGCTGCCGTAAAAATTGTACCATAGGCTGGGTGGTTACAGACAGCAGGAATTCGGATGGACAGATGGGTGAGTGATGGATGGATGGACAGGGTGAGTGATGAGAGGATGGACTGGGGTGAGTGATGGGTGGATAGACAGATGGATGAGTGATGGGTGGATGGAAGGATGGGTGAGTGATGGTGGATGGACGGATGGGTGAGTGATGGGTGGATGGACAGATGGGTGAGAGATGGGTGGATGGAAGGATGGGTGAGTGATGGGTGGATGAACAGATGGGTGAGTGATGGGTGGAGGACAGGGTGAGTGATGAGAGGATGGACCGAGGGTTGAGTGATGGGTGGATGGACAGATGGGTGAGTGATGGTGATGGACAGATGGGTGAGTGATCGGTGGACTGGAGCAATGGACGAGTGATGGGTGGATTAACAGATGGTTGAGTGATGGGTGGATGGGCAGATGGGTGAGTGTTAGGTTCATGGACCAAAGGGTGAGTGATGGGTGGATGGATGGATGGGTGGGTCAGTGATGGGTGGATGGATGGATGGGTGAGTAATGGGTGGATGGACGGATGGGTGAGTGATGGGTGGATGGACGGATGGGTGAGTGATGGGTGGATGGACAGATGGATGAGTGTTGAGTTCATGGACAAAGGGGTGAGTGATGGGTGGATTGACAGATGGGTGAGTGATGAATGGGTGGACGGATGGGTGAGTGATGGGTGGATGGACAGATGGGTGAGTAATGGATGGATGGACAGATGGGTGAGTGATGGATGGACAGATGGGTGAGTGATGGATGGACTGAGGGGTGAGTGATGGGTGGATGGACCGAGGAGTGAGTGATGATGGGTGGATCGACAGATGGGTGAGTCATGGGTGGATGGATGGATGGGTGAGTGATGGGTGGAGGGATGGATGGGTGAGTAATGGGTAGATGGACAGATGGGTGGATGGACGGATGGGTGAGTGATGGCTGGGTGGACAGATTCCTTATTGCGATTTTTTTTCTAGTTATTGCCAGTTTTATTTTTTAATCAATATTCCAGCTGAGAATTTTGCATCTGATACATGGTCCATGGACTCATTCTGGGTGAGAGTGGCATTCTGATGGCCCTACCCACTTCAGGGTCCTTCTTCCCTCGTCTTGAAGAATGGCACATGTTCACAGCTGAATAGCTCTATGGCCTGGCTTGTAGGGCTTAAGACACCGCAGCCTGCCTTCATTTCATCCTGTTTTCTCTGTTTCCTGGTTTCTTCTGGCAGTGCCTCTGCTGGTGCGGTTCCTTCTCTGCTCCCGGCTGTTGCTGAGATGGTTGGTCAAGTCCAAGGCTCAGCCCCACACTTGTCTCCTTATCAGATAGCCACACAGCCACCTGCTTAATGGTCTCTTCCAAACATGCTGTCTCATTTTTTTTGAGATATGGGTAGGCTGGAATTTTAATTCTCAAATCTTTTAACTCAACCAGCCTTTGAGTTCTGGTTCCTTTTTGCTCAACAATTCCACCTTCAAATCATCTCTCTTCCCCCATTTTGCTGTCAGCGGTCAGGAGGAACCAAGCCGCTCCCACAGCATTTTGCTTAGAAATCTCCTCAATTGCGTGTCTGATGTCATCACTCGCGAGTTCCACCCTCCCAGAACACGAGGGCATGAACACAGGTCCACTTTGTCACGAGGATGGCTTTTTCTCCACGGTCCAGTAGCATGGCCGTCCTTTCTGTCTGAGATGTTGTTAGAACAGCCTTGCCACCCATGCTCATGCCACCATTCTGTTCAGGGTTACTTAGATATCCCCTAAGACAGGACTTCTCTGCAGCTCTCCTCTCCCGAGCCCCCAGCATTGTCCTTTAAGGACATTCATGGCAGCCATGCCTTTTCCGCTCTGCACCCCCAAACCCCTTCAGCCTTCGCCCAGCACCCAGTTCCAAAGCCAGTCCACATTTGAAGGTACAGCAGCAGCCACTTCTCAGTACCAAGTTCTTGGTGAGTTTGGGCTGCCGTAAAAATTGTACCATAGGCTGGGTGGTTACAGACAGCAGGAATTCAGATGGACCAATGGGTGACTGATGGGTGGATGGAGCAATGGACGAGTGATGGGTGGATTAACAGATGGTTGAGTGATGGGTGGATGGGCAGATGGGTGAGTGTTAGGTTCATGGACCAAAGGGTGAGTGATGGGTGGATGGATGGATGGGTGGGTCAGTGATGGGTGGATGGATGGATGGGTGAGTAATGGGTGGATGGACAGATGGGTGAGTGATGGATGGATGGACAGGGTGAGTGATGGGTGGATAGACAGATGGATGAGTGATGGGTGGATGGAAGGATGGGTGAGTGATGGTGGATGGATGGATGGGTGAGTGATAGGTGGATGGACAGATGGGTGAGTGTTAGGTTCATGGACCAAAGGGTGAGTGATGGGTGGATGGATGGATGGGTGGGTGAGTGATGGGTGGATGGATGGATGGGTGAGTAATGGGTGGATGGACGGATGGGTGAGTGATGGGTGGATGGACGGATGGGTGAGTGATGGGTGGATGGACAGATGGATGAGTGTTGAGTTCATGGACAAAGGGGTGAGTGATGGGTGGATTGACAGATGGGTGAGTGATGAATGGGTGGACGGATGGGTGAGTGATGGGTAGGTGGACGGATGGGTGAGTGATGGGTGGATGGATAGGGTGAGTGATGGGTGGATGGACCGAGGGATGAGTGATGGGTGGATGGACAGATGGGTGAGTAATGGATGGATGGACAGATGGGTGAGTGATGGATGGACAGATGGGTGAGTGATGGATGGACTGAGGGGTGAGTGATGGGTGGATGGACCGAGGAGTGAGTGATGATGGGTGGATCGACAGATGGGTGAGTCATGGGTGGATGGATGGATGGGTGAGTGATGGGTGGAGGGATGGATGGGTGAGTAATGGGTAGATGGACAGATGGGTGGATGGACGGATGGGTGAGTGATGGCTGGGTGGACAGATTCCTTATTGCGATTTTTTTTCTAGTTATTGCCAGTTTTATTTTTTAATCAATATTCCAGCTGAGAATTTTGCATCTGATACATGGTCCATGGACTCATTCTGGGTGAGAGTGGCATTCTGATGGCCCTACCCGCTTCAGGGTCCTTCTTCCCTCGTCTTGAAGAATGGCACATGTTCACAGCTGAATAGCTCTATGGCCTGGCTTGTAGGGCTTAAGACACCGCAGCCTGCCTTCATTTCATCCTGTTTTCTCTGTTTCCTGGTTTCTTCTGGCAGTGCCTCTGCTGGTGCGGTTCCTTCTCTGCTCCCGGCTGTTGCTGAGATGGTTGGTCAAGTCCAAGGCTCAGCCCCACACTTGTCTCCTTATCAGATAGCCACACAGCCACCTGCTTAATGGTCTCTTCCAAACATGCTGTCTCATTTTTTTTGAGATATGGGTAGGCTGGAATTTTAATTCTCAAATCTTTTAACTCAACCAGCCTTTGAGTTCTGGTTCCTTTTTGCTCAACAATTCCACCTTCAAATCATCTCTCTCCCCACATTTTGCTGTCAGCGGTCAGGAGGAACCAAGCCGCTCCCACAGCATTTTGCTTAGAAATCTCCTCAATTACGTGTCTGATGTCATCACTCGCGAGTTCCACCCTCCCAGAACACGAGGGCATGAACACAGGTCCACTTTGTCACGAGGATGGCTTTTTCTCCACGGTCCAGTAGCATGGCCGTCCTTTCTGTCTGAGATGTTGTTAGAACAGCCTTGCCACCCATGCTCATGCCACCATTCTGTTCAGGGTTACTTAGATATCCCCTAAGACAGGACTTCTCTGCAGCTCTCCTCTCCCGAGCCCCCAGCATTGTCCTTTAAGGACATTCATGGCAGCCATGCCTTTTCCGCTCTGCACCCCCAAACCCCTTCAGCCTTCGCCCAGCACCCAGTTCCAAAGCCAGTCCACATTTGAAGGTACAGCAGCAGCCACTTCTCAGTACCAAGTTCTTGGTGAGTTTGGGCTGCCGTAAAAATTGTACCATAGGCTGGGTGGTTACAGACAGCAGGAATTCACTTCCCAGATTGAAGGCCTGAGAAGCTTGAGATCCGGGCGTAGCAGTGCTGGTTTAACTGCGGGTCCTCTTCTGGGCTGCAGCCCGCCAGTGTCTCATTGTGTCCTCACATGTGGAAGAGGCAAGCCAGCTTCCTTGGTGTCTTCTATAGGGACGCCCATCCCCTGCACAAGGGTTCCACCCTCACGCCTTGTCACCTCCCAAAGGCCTCATCTCCTGATGCCATCCCTTGAGAGTTAGGATTTCAACCCACAGATTTGGGGGCACAAACATTCATTCCATCCAGATGGACACAGCTGCAGGGCATCGGTGCTGGCTCCGGGAGTGCGTGCCCAGGCGCTGTGAGCAGTGAGGCAGAGACGTGTACCTGGTTCAGGTGTTTGGACTCAGGTGGCACAGGGCCCTGCCCTGGCTCAAGGGTTCCATGGCTGTCCGCTAGGGGCGAGGCACCAGAATGGCCTTCAGCAGGAGTGATGTGGTCCGATTAGGAAGGTGGCCCCGGTGCGTAGGTGGGGTCCGGGGCAGTGGTCTTTAGAAGCTGCGGCACAGACTGGTGTCCGCCCTGTGCTCGGCCAGCCCTGGGCTAGGCCTGTCCTGGCTGGACATGCTCAGTGGCAGCTGGGTGTGAAATGTGCTGAACCCCATCGTGCTCACTCCCTCAGCTGACTCTTCAGGGCTGCCCCAGGGCCCATGAGCCAGCCCAGCGTCCAGCTGCAGGTGTCTCTCCTCCTGGTTCTGGCTGGGCGGGCTGGTGGGGCGTGCAGAGATGTGCACATCCCCCTGTGAGAATGGCTGATTGGTGACAAGGCTGGGAGCTAGGGGCAGCAGAGCCCTCAGAGGTGAATGAGGTTGCTCAGCATCCAGCTCCCAATGGGCTTTCCCTGGGCTCAGTGTGGGCACAACTCGCCTACCTGCGGGAATGGTTTCTATCTCCGTCTGCGTTTACGAGTGGTGGTCAGCCCTTTCTGGAGGAGCTTGCGTTGGAAGGATGTGTACTGTGGGTGGGGCCTGCAGCGACGCAGCTGTGTGGAGACGGGGCCGGTGGCCTGGGCTCCTGCCCTGCGCTGACCCCTCCGCCCTCCACAGAGGCCTGTGGGAGCAAATCTGTGTATGACGGCCCGGAGCAGGAGGAGTATTCGACGTTCGTCATTGACGACCCCCAGGAGACCTACAAGACGCTAAAGCAAGTCATCGCTGGGGTTGGGGCTTTGGAGCAGGAGCACGCCCAGTATAAGAGGGACAAGTTCAAGAAGACGAAATATGGAAGCCAGTGAGTGCCACTCCCGTGCCTGCCCTGGACGGCCAGTGTAGTGGGCGGGAGATTGCAGTGGGGGTGGGGCTGCAGGGAGCTCCCGGGTGGGGCCGCCCGTGCTCAGGTGTCCGCCTGGGAGGAGAGTCCCACTTGCACCGGGCTGGCACCTGGCGGTAGTCAGTGGACGTGGCCCGGCGCTGCTGGTCCCTCCTTCAGAGCAGGTGCTGCCTTTGCTCTCCAGGCCCCCAGCCAGCGTCCGGGCTGCCTCCCTGACCTGCTTCCTCCCAGCCTCTCTGCTATACTGGTGTCACGTGCTCTGGCAGTCTCTAGGCCCAGGTCTTGTTCTGCCTTGGTTCAGTGGCACACCCTCTGGCATCTCTCCAGGCCACCCATGGTGCCCGGGAGCAGGGCCAGCTCTGGACGAAACCCACTCTTGTCTCATGAGGCAGGTGTGGCGAGGTTGAGTACGTTCAGCTTAGTCACCAGCTGCAGGCTAGGTGGCGCTTAGCTAAGCTCCACTCCCCCTCACTCCATGGAACAGAGGGTTGTAAGACCCTCATGAGTTGCTGGAAGATTGACTTAAACTATGTAAAGTGCTAGGCTGGCTCTTAGCCTGGAGTGAGCAGATGTGTCTGTGTCACTCTCTCCATCCAGTGGGTACCCAGGTCCACCATGGCAGAAGCCCCCACACGGGCTCATTCAGGGGCGGGTAAGCCCTAGAGCCCTGTGTAGCTGTACAGCCTCCTCCTCACTTCCATCCTCCTGCTCACTCCTCTCTTTGGTCCTCCCTCCCTTCGATCCTCCCTCTCTCCTCCTCCACCCTTCTTCTCCCTCCTTCCCTTCCTTCCTTCTTAACCCCTCCTTCCTTCCACCATGCGGGTCTGGTCTGGGAAGGGCAGTGGTGAGGCTCCAGGAGAGTGACAGGTCCCTGTGGCCCGGACTTGGACCGAGTTGCTCAGGGGACTGAGCCTGCAACACCTCCTGAGTGCTGTGACTTCACCTCTGACATCATCATATCAGATCCCTCTCGACACCCTTCTGGGGAGACAGCCCCATTTGCCTTCCAAATATGTTGCCTCGTTGATATCAGCAGGTCCATCAACCTCATGGCCAAAAGCCAGCAGGTTGAAAATGCGCGAAGCATGATGCTGTTTGTTGTAGTAGAAGGCGCACACGAGGCACACATGGTACAAGATGCACACACATGGCAGGAGGTGCACACACATGGGTGGAGGTGCACACACATGGCAGGAGGTGCACACACGGAGGAGGTGAACACGTGGGAGGAGGTGGTGCACACGTGGGAGGAGGCACACACACGGAGGAGGCGCACACACATGGCAGGAGGTGCACACATGTGGGAGAAGGCACAGACGGAGGAGGTGCACATACATGGCAGAAGGTGCACACGTGGGAGGAGGTGCGCACATGTGGGAGAAGGCACACATGGAGGAGGCGCACACAGCAGGAGGTGCACACACATGGGAGGAGGTGGTGCACACACGTGGGAGGAGGTGCACACACGTGGGAGGAGGTGTGCACACACGTGGCAGGAGGTACACACAGAGGAGGTGCACACATGCGAGAGGGGTGCACACACGTGGGAGGTGGTGCACACACATGGGAGGAGGTGCACACAGGAGGCACACAGAGGTGCACACACAGGTGCACACGTGGGAGGTGTACACACGGAGGGGTGCACACACATGGGAGGAGGTACACGTGGAAGGAGGTGCACACACGTGGGAGGAGATGCACACATGGAGGTGGTAGGCACGTAGGAGGAGGTGCACACACATGGAGGTAGTGGACACACATGGCAGGAGGTGCACACACATGGTATGAGGGAGGTGTGCATGTGGGGAGGAGGTGCCCACGCCTGCTGAGTGTCCCAGCACTGGGACAGATCTGTGTCCCTGGAGCTCATGCTCCCCACACATGAGCACACTCTTTGCAGTGCAGATGTGCACATTCTGCACACGTGCCATACACTCTACATATTCCACATCTGCACATGTATATGCGCTACACACGTGCCACAGGGAGAGCACACGTGCACATGTACTTGCACGCCTGACCCACCTGTGCACACACATCAGAGTCACCGTGGGTGCTTCCGGGGGCACTGTGGTTCCTTTGGCTCCTCTATTTTTTGTGTGGATTGCAGTGTGAGTGTGTCACATTTAGGAACAGGAAAAGCTCCCGCAGCCACGGGTGAGCACCAGGCAACGGGGTCTGTGCCTCATTCCCTCTCCCATCCCCCTTTTCAGGGAGCACCCCATCGGAGACAAGAGCTTCCAGAACTACATCCGGCAGCAGTCCGAGACCTCCACTCATTCCATTTAAAGTCTGCGGGACGCGCCCAGTGGCGCCAGCAAGCTGCCCATGCAAAGCCGCAGCCTTTGGGAGGGAGAAGAGAAGGAAGAGCGCAGAGCCGGCAAAGTGAGATGCACGCCGTCCCGGCCCATAGACAAGTGGCGCTGGGGTTTCCCTCTCCCAGAACCGCTGCCACCACCGCCACGCCCTCCGCAGAAAGCCCACCTGGCCCTGTGGAACGTGTCGTCATTTGATTCTGTGCTTTTTGCTCCTTGTTTGTGGGGATCTGGGGATCAGCTGAAGGATCAGGAAGTGTGGGCTGTGCCCTAGCCACACCACAGCCAGCCTCAGGGAGCCACGGCCCGTCTAGTCGACTGTGACATGCACCTCCGGCCGTGTGTGCGTCAGTCTCGTGCACGTCTGTCTTGCGTGCACGGTGCGTGTGACGCTGGGCTCTGTGGCTCTGTGCCCGGGAGGCCTGCTGGCCCCGCCTCGGCTTTCGGCTTCATCACATTGGGAGGTTCAGAGCATTACTCTCCCACTGTGCCTGCCATCCAGGCAGCCATGGGAGGCGGCCTCCCTGTTCCACTTTCGAGGTTCGTTTGATTCCTGGCTGAGGGGTCAGTTTTATGGCTGGGAGGTGCAGAATTACACAGAAGTCCCAGTCTGAGGATGTCCTTGGTGCTTGGGGGATACGGGTTCTGTCCACAGAGTCCCTTGGAGGGAAAGGTGTGGGCTCCAGCTTCTCCAGGCGTCTGCGGAGCCCACAGTTGAAGCCCACATCGTTTTGCTGTTGAATGGGGTTTAAAATCAGAATTAACATTTGCCACCCCCCGTGGAAGTTTGAAGATTTTAAAAATAGAAATGTACATTTTTCAAGCTGTTTTTCTTTATGTTTTTGAAGGACCATTTTTAATTAGCTCTTTGATACAAAGTAACTCAGAACGTCAAAACCTATACCCACTAAAGGGAAGGCTGCCGGGAAGGCAAATGGAACAGGAATGGAGCCTGTCTCAGGAAGGCCAGCTGCAGGTCCTCCAGAAAATCAAAGAAGGGAAGAAACTCTGAGTTTGAGGTACAGGGGCTTCGGGGTGCAGACGTCCCTCCAGGGCCCATGGTCAGTATTGCACCTGTGTTATGAACCCCCAGATGCTGTGCAGGGCAGGGGCGGGGGCTGCTGTTTTATTGGGGAGGGGAGCATCCTAAAAATGGGGTCCAGGCAGACCCCTCCAGACCTCACACTGCCGAGGAGGCCTTTCCCAAAGGGCGTCCTCCCGGGATGCAGACGGCAGGTGTGTGGGAAGCGCCGTTTAAATACACAGCACGACGTATCCTTGTACCGACTTCTCCCGGTTCTTGTTTGAAAATACTGTAGTTCAGGCTCTTGATCTAGATGGCAGATAGGAACTTTCTTGTCACAAAAATACTGGAGGAAAATGTTGTAAAAATAGACTTTTGGACACACAGCTGTTGGGGCTGCACTGAGCTGCAATTTTTAACATGGATTTATAACTTAATGTTTCTGTTTATAAAATACTAATGATTTGCAATGTATTTTACTGGCCAATTAAAACAGATGTTTTATTCTTTCTGAGGACTGCCTTGGTTTTCCAGTGGTACCCACTGGGAATTGCACATGTGGGCATTAGGGGTGGGGGGTACAGGGAGGAGGGTGGCACCTGGGGAGCAGGATGACATTGCTGATGCCAAGTGACGTCCCTGGTGATGGGTGATGCTGCTCTGACAGGTGGCACTGCCCTGATGACAGGTCACATTGCTGATGCCAAGTGACATCTCTGGTGACAGGCAGCGCTGCTCTGACAGGTGACAGGTGACATCGCTGGTGACAGTTGACGCCTCATGACGGGCAGCGCTGCTCTGACAGGTGGCACCGCCCTGATGACAGGTGACATCACTGGTGACAGTTGACATCTTTGGTGATGGGCAGCGCTGCTCTGACAGTGGCATTCACCTGTGGTGCCTCAGGTGAGAGTCCGGCCCTGTGATAACCTCAGGAAAGGTGTGTCCACTCAAGGAGTGCTGGGCAGACAGACCACCACGTGCTGCCATCTCCAGGAATGCAGAGGGGGAGGCCACTTGGAGGCCCTGGGAGAAGAGAACGGACTGCGCCTCTAGGCAGGTGGCTGCTGTCCCTCCAGGCAGGAGAGGGTTAAGGGGGGCTCTGGGTGAAGACTCCATGATACGTTGCCTCATTTCTTTATTCCTTTCCTTGCTCCATTTGAATTCCTCTTTTTTGGTAATTCTATTGTGAGTCAGCTCTGGTATGAGAAAAATGAGGAGGTGTGGCTTTGGGGACACCAACCCAGGCCTTTCTCCCAGGGAAGGGTGAGGCTTGGTTCAGCCTGGCCGGCCTCCTTAGTCCATGCTGAGGTGTGGGGTCTGCCCCAGTCCAGGAGTGGCTATGGGTGGTGGACAAACCCTTGCAGGTGGGGGCATCCTCCCCGGGAGGCCAGCCCGTCCTCCTGGAGCCACACTTCCCGGCAGGGCCTCAGGCAGTGTCGGGAGCCAGGGGGCTCCGTTCACACTCTGGGCACAGCTGTGCTGGGGTCAGCCCAGGAGGGCCAAGGTCAGCCCCTCCAAGAGGAAGTAGAAGGGCAAGGAGGACGAGGCCCCAGGGAACGTGGAGAATGGAAGCCCCTTCTGGAACAGCCAGGAGAGTCCTACAGGGCAGTGGGAGGTGGGAGTGTATGGGGGCCGGAAGCCCCTGCGCGTCTCCACTGATATGGTTTGGCTGTGTCCCCACCCAAACCTCATCTTCAGTTGCAGCTCCCATAATTCCCATGTGTGGTGGGTGGGACCCAGTGGGAGGTGATTGAATCTGTGTGGTGGGAGGTGATTGAATCTATGTGGTGGGAGGTGATTGAATCTGTGTTGTGGGCGGGACCCGGTGGGAGGTGATTGAATCTGTGTGGTGGGCGGGACCCGGTGGGAGGTGATTGAATCTGTGTGGTGGGAGGTGATTGAATCTGTGTGGTGGGAGGTGATTGAATCTGTGTGGTGGGAGGTGATTGAATCTGTGTTGTGGGCGGGACCCGGTGGGAGGTGATTGAATCTGTGTGGTGGGCGGGACCCGGTGGGAGGTGATTGAATCTGTGTGGTGGGCGGGACCCGGTGGGAGGTGATTGAATCTGTGTGGTGGGCGGGACCCAGTGGGAGGTGATTGAATCTGTGTGGTGGGCGGGACCCGGTGGGAGGTGATTGAATCTGTGTGGTGGGTGGGACTTGGTGGGAGGTGATTGAATCATGGGGCGGTTCCCCCATACTGTTCTCGTGGTATAAGTCCCACGAGATCCGATGTGAAAGTTTTATGAGGGTTTCTCCTTTTGCTTGGTCTCATTCTCTCCTGCTGCTGCCATGTAAGACGTGCCTTTCACCTTCCACCATGATCGCAGGGCCTCCCCAGCCATGTGGAACTGAATCCATTCAACCTCTTCTTTATAAATTACCCAGTCTCAGGTATGTCTTTATCAGCAGCATGGAAACTGTCTAATACACCCACCAAGAGACTGCAGGTGGCTTTGTGGAGACCCCAGTGACGCCCATTTGCCCTTGTTGCTCCAGACGACCCAGCACTTGTTGGAGAGAGACAGCGGCCTCCTCTCCCATCCTGGCAGCATCCGCGGGGCTCCCGACATCAGAGTGTCCAAAGCAGGTGCCTCTGAGGAACCGTCCCAGGAGGCCAGGCAGTGCCAGAGCGTGTGTGAGGCCAAGGCCCCCACCCTGCACCCACCACTTGCCCAGAGAGCTGAGGCCTCCTGGGTGCTGAGAGGCTGTGGGCTCTTCAAAAGAAGAGATCAGAAGGAGGGGAGCCTGCAGCCTGGGGGTCACACCTGCTTCCCCCTGGCTGAGGAGCCCCGGGTGCGGGAAGCGGGTCCTGGGGGCGGGGGGGTGCGCCGGCTCGCGAGGTGCCTGTCAAGGGGCAGAAGGGGCTGCCCAAATAAGCCACACTGTTGTAAGGGTTGTTTTGAGCTGAAACAGCCATCCACAAGGATAAGAACGCTGCTTTCTTCTGGCTCTGGAGAGCGTCTTCCCCGTGGGGTGTTACCTCCTCTTTCAGGAAGGAAAGGCCATTCCCGGCCACACAGACCGTGCTGGAGTGCGTGTGCCTTTCTCCAGCTCATCTGCTGATTTTAATTATCAGGCCCGACCAAAAAACCCCAAGAGGTAAAATGTTGCCTCCCCACCCACCGTGGTCTGGAGGCTGGAGGAGACAGCGTGCCGGGGATTTTCTGTTCGGCTCAGTACAGGCTGAACTCTGTCCCGGCAAATCCTCATGCTGGAGCTGTGACCCTGTGACCCTCAGGACCTCAGGGTGTGGCTGCACTTGGGCGTGGAGCTGTAGAGATTGTCAAGGTAAAGCGAGGCCCTGACCCAGTGTGACCAGCGTCCTCATGAGAAGGGGAGACGAGGACGCAGCACACAGGACCACCACGTGAGGACACGGAATACGTCATCTTCGCGCCAAGGAGAGAGGCCTCGGGTAACCAGCGCTGCGAGACACCTTGCCCCCAGCACCGGAGGGAATGAGCTCCCGCTGTTTAAGCCGCCTGCCTGGGAGTGCCAGCAAACCCACGCTGACCTGTGCAGTTCACACCGTCGGCCCGGAAAGCCCTCGCCGGAGCCCCGGCCACATCAGGGTTTCGTCCTGGCGCCGTGTGGGTGGGGAGAGGCGCTGGGCCGGCAGCATTTGCACCCCACCACTGCCTGCAGGGGCTGCCTTTGTCTTCCTGAGTTGATCTGTGTCCCATTTGCCCTGATAGGGAGAGAAAGATTCAAATACCCTGTCACAGAGGGAGACCGGCGTCTCATCTGCAGGCCCTGCTAGGGCTGGTGCCAGTTCCCCGCCCTCCCTGGTGGAGAGACCAGAGATGTGAAAACGCAGAACCCGCCCCAGCCCCGGCCTGCGGGAAAGAAGAAGGGAAGACGCAGAACCCGCCCCAGCCCCGGCCTGCGGGAAAGAAGAAGGGAAGACGCAGAACCCGCCCCAACCCCGGCCTGCGGGAAAGAAGAAGGGAAGACGCAGAACCCGCCCCAGCCCCGGCCTGCGGGAAAGAAGAAGGGAAGACGCAGAACCCGCCCCAACCCCGGCCTGCGGGAAAGAAGAAGGGAAGACGCAGAACCCGCCCCAGCCCCGGCCTGCGGGAAAGAAGAAGGGAAGACGCAGAACCCGCCCCAGCCCCGGCCTGCAGGAAAGCCACGCTGTGCTGCCAGGGATCGGCTGATCTTTGGCCTCTGACCTTACAGTGATGTCACAGCAGACCCATGGCAACGCACTCCCAGCACCTCCTGACTACTCCCTGCGGGACGGCTGGGTGTGAGGGTGGCAGCCTTGTGCTCAAGCCGAGGCTGGGCTGGAGGATGGAGAAGGACACGGGGACCACACACAGGAGGCACCGGCCCGGCCTCAGGGCCCTGCCCTCAGGAGTGGCCCTTGGGCACCTCAAGGCGGCCAGTGAGGCCTCTGAACTTCAGCGAAGCAGGAGTCTGGGAGGCCTGCAGCCCGAGGGGGACCCTCCCAGCCGCCCTAGGAAGCCTCACAAGGAGCTGGGTAGGGGCTGTGGGGCCGCGGGGAGCGGGTGGACGGCGCGGCTGTCCCACCAGGCACTGAACCCAAAGTACCTGCGTCAGAGCCCAGCCCAGTTAGAAAGTTCTAGGAAGTTCCCAAGGTTAGGGATGCGCCGAGACAGCCCCAGGAGGTCCAACGACGTGTGTCCAAGGCGGGGCACGGCCTGACGTCATACATTGCAGGGGGGCGTGGGGCATCAATCAGCACCTGTGAGGGGGTACGTCGGTTCTGTCCGGAAAGGGACAGCCTGAAGCAGGAGGGGCTTCCAGGTCGTAGGTAGAGGAGACACAGGGCTGCATTCTTTGGGTCTCGATCAGCCTTTCACTGAACACACAATTTACACGTGAGGGGACTAGAGGGAGAGTCACTTGTATCCTCGTCCGGCTCCGTGACTGCGGTTTTTCATGAGCAGCCCAGAGGGAGCTGTCGGACACACTTGTCTCAGGTGAGCAGAGGGAGGACCGTGATCTCTGTCCCTGTCCTGCGCCTGTTGACGGTCAGCTGTCCACGTGCATTCCCAGCGTGAAACTCCACAAAACTGCTTAGGGCAGAGATCTTAAGGCTCACAAGGAATTTCCTCGTGGGTGAATGATGAGGGAGGCCTGTGGCCGTTTATCTCTGCAGCTCTTGTTTAGGAAGAGGATGGGAGGCAGGTTTGTCTGACACATTCCCAGCCTTACTCCTCCCCTTAGCTCAGTGATTCAGGGCCCAAGATTCATTTTCCTTCCACCGGCAGCAGGGACCGGGCCGGGCCTCCTGCCTCCCGCTGCCCTGTGCTCGGAACGCTAAGGGTGGAAGTGGGGAGCACTCCAGGTCCACACCCGTAACCCACCCAGGGCTGCTGGGAAGGCCTTGCGCTGCTGGGGCGGAGCTGTGGGGGCTCCAGCCGGGCACAGCCAAGGGCGGGAGGGGTGAGAGGAGGGCAGGCCTGGGACCCTCATGGGCCTCCGAAGCCAGCCGATGCCTGAAGGGAGGATCATAGCCAGGCGCCCCGTTTGCAAGAAGGCCCTGGTGAGGGCCTGGGTCCCTGCCAGGAGCTCTGGGCCTCACCCACCAGCAAGGAACCTGCGTAGCTGGTGTTTGACACGGTTGGCTTCTAAACCGCGAAACGTGTAGGCTGCCCCTGTGTCGGTCCACACTCGCCACTCTGAGATGTTTCCAGGTGTGCCGAACGGACGGTGGTGTGGGCCTGGGGATGGTGCTGCAGTCACCTCCTCACACCTTGAATACTGGCCCAGAGCACAGGGCTGAGGGGCTGACACGGAGCTGCGAGCTGGCGCTCCCCTCCCCTCCCGCGGCCTCGGCAGCTCCGCCTCCCCTTCGCAAAGGTGTCCACGGGGCCGTGGAAGTGAGACAGCCCGGTAGGACTCGGGGTTTGCTTGCTCAAGCCCTGGGGACAATTTTAAGAGGTAATGATGTAAAAATATGTGTTCTTCTCTGAGTTTAAAAATCCAAATATGTGCTATTTGGGGGGCGTGAGTAGTTAGGAGGCTGCACCCTACCTCCCTCCCCACGGGGTTCCCTCAAGACGTGCAAAGTTCTCAAAAGAATAAGTTACGCCAAGGCTGCTTAGCGGGAATTTAAGTTGGGGCGGGGAGTGGATCTCCAATAATGCCGCCCGATGCCACCACAGTGCGGACTTAGAGGCCGGGGTCGGATGGAGGGAGGGATTGAGCCCCATTGTGGCTGACATTTCCCTCAACACCTGCTGGATTTGCCCAAAACTGCACGATGGGAGGTGCCGCAGCAGGGAGGCCGGGCTTCTGTGTGGCCGCTTGTCCTGTCTGGCAAAGATGTCCACCCTGCACAGCCTCCCCCAGGCACCAGCACCCTCAGGGTTCGAGACCACGGCCCAGGAGCGCATCCTCCCTGGAGCTTTGTGGCTGCCCCCAGACAACTGAGATTCTGCCGGAGAAGAGCAGGAGGCATTTCCAGCCCTGTGACCCGAGGAGAAGGGCCGGGCCTTGCTGACCACTGGTAGAGTCCGACGTGGCCTTGGTTTCTGCAGGGACTCAGCTCCTCACCCCTCGCAGACTTGGTGGGCTCCATGACATGCCCAGTGCCACGTGCACCCACAGGTGCCCGGATGTGTGAGACGCCGCGTCCACTTCACAGGGAGGCCTCCGGGATGCGGGAGACGTGGGGTGGCCGACTTCACGGGGGCACCAGTGGGGTGTGTCTGGGCCTGGGCCATGCGGAGCACAGGAGACCAGCGCTCACGGAGGGCAGCCCAGAGAGGCCGGCAAGAGCACAGTGAGAATCCGCTGGGTTCCAGACCCACTGAGGCCCTGCCTTGAGCCCACATGCACCCTGGACGCCTGTTGATTCTGCAAAGGCTCTGCGCTCCACCTCTGGGCCCCACTCGTGGCTTCTCTGTTGGGGGCAGCCCCTCGTGGTCGGCCATTGGTCTCATTTCCCTGGAAGAGCCCCATTCCCCAGCTGCCCCTTGGGCCTGTGGGCTGAGCTGAGTGACCTGCCTGGAGTGGCCCATGTGACTCTGCCGAGCTCTGGGAGGAGGTCTGGTCTCTTCCATCACAAGCATCATTTAAAGCTTTGGAATCATCCCTGTTGTATTTGAATCCCGGGCCAAGGGGGTGTTGTGGGAAGAGGGAGTAGCTGCGGGAAGCCAGGGTCTCCGCAAACATTCCCGGCTCCGATGCGGCTGGAGGCCCTGTGGGATCTGGAATCCGCTCACTCCAAGGCTCTCCTGAGCACCTAGGGCTTGGAGAATCCTCTGCCACATGACTTCCTCACAAGGCTGTGCTGGTTTGCAAGCTCCTGGGAACGGAGAACTCAGTGTTTAACTAGAATGGAATGTTTCACGTTGGCCAAGTCAGTCAACACCTTTAGCCAAGTGTGCCAGGGAGCAGTGTGTGCTCGGTGCAAGCCGGTGGCCAACAGCCAGGCTTGGGTTCCTGCCGGGAGCACCAGAGCACCGCTCACCCGAGTTGATGTTCCTGGGCCCCTGTCCTCTGTCACATCAAGGTAAAGATCCTCACGAGACATAAAGTGGTCCCGAAAAAAGACTGCTAGAAACATCCCGCAATGCCTCTCGGGGAGCCCAGAGACCCTGGGGATTGGTGGATTTTCCTGGACAAGCCAAGTGGGGTTTCAAGTCCCACCTGTCCGTGAGAGGAAGCCTGGGTTGGGGGTAGTAGCCGGCATGGGCAGGTCTTGTGGGCTTCTCCCACCCTCCCGCTCAGCTACCTCCAGCCAGCTGTGCTAGGACAAAGAGGAGTTTCAAGAGGTCCCGGAGCCTCATGTGTTTACTGTAAGGCGGCTGGCCATGCCTCACCCTGAGTCCTGCAGGGAGAAGGTGGAGCCCAGGTGTGGGCTGAGCTGCTGGGGCTGAGCCAGGCTCAAGGCCCTGGCACCAGGCTGTGGAAAGTGCCGATAGCAAATACCGGAGGGCCGGGCATGGGCACAGGTCGGGGAGAAACTCAAGTTAGCTGTAGCCATGGCTGAGAGTTGAGCTCTGCTGTGGGTGGCTGTGGGCGGCTTGGGGCAGGTCCTGAGCTCCGGTAGCTGCGGTGTAATGGTGCTGACGGCTCTGTCCTTCCTCCCCAGAGTCCGAAGATCAAGGGAAAGACCCAAGCAGTAACGCGGAAGATGCCAGCTGGTAAGCAGCCTGTCCGACGCTGGCCTTTGTGAAGGTGGAGCTGGGAAAAGTGAGGTGGACACAGGAGAGGGTGGGGTGTGGGAGTGGTACCCGGGCATCAAGGTAGACACTTAGAAGGGGACAGAGGGAGCCCTGGGTCCTGCGAAGACCCCGCGCAGGGCCTGGATGGGAGGGCTGGGAAATCCTCCTTATTTTGAGAGGAATTCAGCGTGGGAACAGGACCCACCTGTAGCGGGGTGGTGTCCTCAGGACTCGGGCCCTGGCCTGAGGGTCACACAGCTGCATCCCTCTCAGTAGACACCCCATGGCCCTCTGGGGAAGGAGGCGTCGTCTCACTAGTGGACTGCTGGGCCCACCTTAGATGTAAACAACTCGAGTGCTCCTTTAGGGAGAGGGCGTGGGGCCCTGGACAGCACATCCCCACTTCGTACTGCCGAGTTCTTGCCTCCCTGCACCTCGCGTCCCGTTCTAACCCAGCTCTGGTTCTCCCACCCACTCACCCTCCTGCCATCAAAGAAGACTTAAAAGTCATTGAATTCCTCAAAAATTTGTCTCAGATCTAACAAAGTCGATTTACCAGCACCATGGCAAGGCACGGGCCAAGTCCCCCTTATTTACAAATGGCTCCCGTTGAGTGGAGACCAAGGAAGGTGTCCGGCCGCCGAAGCGGCCAAAGGTGCAATCAGTTGGTGAGAGTGAGTGTTCGTGTGTTAGACAGGATGTGTGCGGCGCCTGGAGCCTCCCACTCCGTAGAGCTCAGGGAAGCTGATGGCCTTGGTGAGGGCAGTTGAGCTGGGAAGACCACACACCTTTAGGGTGGCAAAGCTGAAAGCGTCTGCTCACGTTGGCCAAGTCAGTCAATACCCTCGGCCAAGTCAACGCCATTGCAGATGGTGGCGGAGCCCCTGTCATCCTCACTGCCTGTTGCATTCCTCTTGCCCCTGGCCACACACCATAGCAGACCACAGAAGGGGTCACGAGGTTGGTGCGAGTAACAGCAGGGCCAACCGTGGACCCTCCAGCCTACTGGCCAGCATGGCCCATTTGGTATCCACATGGAGTGTGGATCTGCGACAGGGTGGCTGCATCTTCTCATCAGATTTTGGTTCTTTGAGCAAGGTTAGACCCTGCTTTCCAAAATAAGCCCAGGTTGGCTGTAATCCCAGTCCAGACCCTGGCTGTACAGGGTAAGTTTTCCAGGCAAGATGGGCCAGCAGAGGGAGCCAGGAGGGCCAGGCTGTGGGGCCCTTCAGAGCCAGAACTCTGTGCTGGGTCAGGGCACCTCATAGGTGCCCACCAGACCCCAGGGGCACCAGCCTCAAGCCCAAGGAGACAGACCCAGAGGAGACCAGGAGCTGCCCGCAGCTATCTGCCGTCTCTTCCAAACCACTTTCCCTGCTCCTCCCGCAGTCAGAAAAACCTAGCACAAGACAAGAAGGAAAGCTTCAGCACCCTTGGGAAGCTGGGTCATGAGAGTGGAAAACAAGACCCAGAGAGGGAGAAGAGCGACTTGGAGGCCAGCATGCAGGAGGTGCAGGAAGGCGAGCACGCAGACGGAGGCTTGCAGGAGGCCAAGGTTGGGCCACGCTGAGGAGCGGTGCATTTTTTCCTCTTGCCTTGGAGCCCGGCCTTCACTTAACCTCTTTGGTCTTACAGGAACAGGAGGCAGAGTCCATAAAGCTAAATGACCTTCAGGAAGAAGAGGTAAGAGCTTTTCCCTTTAGTAATAGAAGTGAGAAGGGAGGCCTGTCCAGGCGGGAGTTCTGCCGGAGCCTGGACCTGCCCGGGACGGTGGCCTGGGGGTCAGCTCAGCAGGCGCCAGGCTGTGAAGCTGGACTGACTGGGCCCCTGCTACCCTAGAGAGGCTTGGGGCCAAGCTCTGAGACTCTTTACCCGATCCCAGGGCAGCCTGACCCCTGCTTGCCAAACGTGCAGTCACTAAAGGTGTATGAGGCCCTGAGAGGAGGTGCCCTCAGCTTGACCTTGGCCCAGAAAACACCCAGAGCCCCAGGCTTGATGTGTTGTCCAGGGACACGTCATGCTGTGGGGGTTCTCACGTGGCACCGTGTGAAGGAAAGTGGCTTTTGTTCTCCCTCCAAGCTGTGTGGTGGGGACGGTAACACAACCAGACACGCTGCTTGCCAGGCGGGCCTTGCTTTCATTCCAGGGCTCTTGGGAAGTCCTTCACCCACCCCCAGACACTGCCCTTGGAGTTGACTCAAATGCTCCCATCAGACACACGTTCTGGGCTGGCCCAGGTGCCCCGTTGGAGGCCTTGGGACAGCAAAACCCTGAGCCGCTGAAGCCGTTCACATCCCGGGGGGGGTCTCCTGCTCCTTGGTGTGGAGTGTGGCCCACAGGCAGGCTGTGGGGCAGGAGTGCTGCCTTGTCGAGCAGGGCTGGGGTGGGAGCAGCCCGGCTCCCCAAGATCTGGGCATTGCCCCATCTCCTGGAGGCCCGAGTTCTCAGAGGATGAGGTTGGAGGAGACCCTCTGGGGTCTCAGGGCCCTGATGGGAGGTGAGTAGGGAGGGGTGAGAAAGCCATATCCCTCCTACATCCTTCTCCTACATGGGCACCTCACAGTCCATACTGCCGTCAGCTCTGCCCAGCGTCCCAGGAGCCCTCGTTCAGCATTGCCAGGATCTGGGGACCTGATGGTCATCACCAGGGTCTGCCCCGGCTGCCCCAAGGGCCAGGGGCCACTGTTCCTCCCAGGGAATCAACGTTCCTCTCCAGCTCACCCAAGCCTGCCATCCACACCTCTGTGGTTTCCATTCGCAGAAAGCATCTGTGTTTGTGGAGATTGATCTGGGAGACCATGCTGAGGAGGTAAAAATGGAAAACCGCAAGACAAGCAGAGCCAAAGCCACCAGGAAAGCGCCTGTGCTGCCTGGCAGGGCCAGCCTGGGAGGCTTTTCTGGGAACTTACCCCACAATAGCCATGTGTTGGATAGGGAGGCAGAGACCTGGGGCCAGCAGCTCCAGGAGAGCTCCCTGGTGTTGAGGATTGGTCTAGCCTCTTCCTTACCCTCCCACACTCCAACTCACGCACACTTCAGCACTATCAGAGACTCTGGGGCCTGGGTTAACCTTCAAGGTGCCCATGGGTCCTCAGAACCTCTTGTGGGGGATCACGTTGGGATGGTGAAAAGGGCACAGGCCTGGAAGCTCAGAGACTGGGCTTTGGTGGATGTGTGGTTCTGTCAGTAAATGCTCAAAACAACTCATCATACTTCCCTGTGCCTCAGTTGTCTCCTCTATAAAGTAGGAATCATATTAGTACCCGCATTCCAGGGTTGTCTGGGAAAGCTCTCAGAGCAGTGCCTCACACCCAGGAAAGCTTATCATCATCATCATGGGGTATCATCATCATCATCACCACCATTACTATCCTCAGCATCAACACCATCATTATATCACAACCATCATCATCATCACCACCAGCAACATCATCCCCATAAACATTATCACCATCATCATTAATATCACCATCATTATCACATCACCACCATCATTCCCATCAGCAGCATCATCATCATCATCACTATCATGACCATCATCACTGTCACCATCATCATCACCATCACCACTATCACTATCACCATCATCGTCACTATTACCATCACCATTATTACCATCATCACCTTCACCATCATCACCACCATTATAATCACCATCACCATCATCATCACCATTATAATCATCACCACCGTCATCATCACCATTAATACCATCACCATCATTATCACATCATCATCATCATCACCATCATTAATACCATCACCATCATCATCATCACCATCATTAATATCATCACCGTCATTATCACATCACCACCATCATTCCCATCACCAGCATCATCATCACCATCACTATCATGACCATCATCACCACCATCACTGTCACCATCATCATCACCATCACCACTATCGCTATCCCCATCATCACCACCATTATAATCACCATCATCATGACCATCATCACCATCATCATCATCACCATCACCACTATCACCGTCACCATTGTCATCATCACCATTATAATCACCATCATCACCATCATCATCATCACCATCATTAATACCATCATCACATCACCACCATCATTCCCATCACCAGCATCATCATCACCATCACTATCATGACCATCATCACCACCATCATCATCATCACCACTATCACTGTCACCATCATCACCAACATTATAATCACCATCACCATCATCATCACCATCATAATCATCATCATTGTCACCATCACCATCGCCATCATCACCATCACCATTACCACCATCATCACCATCACCATCATCACCACCATCACCATCATCACCATCACCATTATCACCATCATCACCTTCACCATCATCACCACCATTATAATTACCATCATCACCATCACCATCATCACCATCACCATCATCACCATCATCACCTTCACCATCATCACCACCATTATAATCACCATCACCATTGTCACCATCATCATCACCATCACCATTATAATCACCATCATCATTGTCACAATCATCATCACTGTCATCATCACCACCATCACCAGTATAGTCACCGTCATCATCACCACCATTATAATCATCATCATCACCATCGTCATCACCATCAACATTATCACCACCATAATCATCATCCTTATCTGTAAGAAGAAGAGGCTGACTTAATGACCTGTCTGGGCACTTCCAACACTAACATCTGGGGTGTGTTCCTCCATGTCTTTGCTGTAGTGAACAGTCATCATTCTGGAAGTTTATTGAAGTTCTTTCTTGGCAAGTTTAAGCTCCTTCCTGGGGGTCAGTTATTTTCCAGACTGTACCTTCTCTCCCTTTTGCCCTCAGAGCCACAGAGAGAGCTGGTTGTTAACCCCCAACAAGGCTATTCTTGGGGCACATGAGTTCTAAGGACTCAAGGAGGGCCAGTCAGTGGCACAGTTGGGCTGACAGGCCAGACCTGGTCTTCAGTCCAGGAGCCAGGCCTCATCAAGGGTGCAGTTCCTTGGTCAGGTTCCCCTAACTGGAAATGTCCAGTCAATAGAGAGCCCTGTCTGATGGGAGGTCATCCAGCCTCTGTGCCCTAGCCTGATCCTCCAGCAGGTCCACAGGCTATGCCTCAGTGCCCGTGGCTGACACCTCCCATCCCTTAAATGTCTCCACTCCCCACAGGTGGTCACCGATGCCAAGAAGGAAGAGAAGCCGTCCCAGATGGATGTGGAAGATCTGTCAGAAGACGAGTGAGTGATGCTTGTGGGCTCACACTAGGTGGGGGTAGGAGGACTTTCCCCCCACCACGGTCTCTGGTGTGCCCACCATGCCTTGTGTGTGGTGGGCAGAGCCGAGCCCAGGCGGTCCCCCCTTCTCCCTGGGCACTGCCGAGGCTCAGCACCTGCCGAGCCTGAGGGACTGAGGGCAGGGAACAGGACATCGGACCTTCGAAGGGCTCAGGGACGAGCTTCACGATGCCCCACCTCACCCCATAACCAGGCCGTGTCTCCTACCCACCAGCCAGGAAAAGGACCTGATGAGAAGGGGGAAGAGGAGGGAGAGTAGGGAGGAAGGAGGGGGGAGAGGTGATAAGTGCATGGTACTGACTTCTCCTGTTTAGGTTTTAGCTGCAGACTTGGGTCCTGCAGGTAGTGGGAAGCCGTGCATACACGGCTGGTGTCACAGCCAAGCAGGCTTCTCTCACAACAAGCCTCGGGCCCTGGGGCCGGGGCTAGGCAGCCTCCGAAGAGATGATCCGTGTCCCCAGGCTGGATGCTGTGTAGGTCCAGGGAAGCCCCAAGACTCCCCGAGGCCCGAGGCCCTGAAGATGGGTGTGGGGAGAGAAGACACTGGCCCATTGAAGGGGGCCCATGGATCTATAGTGTTTTATTTTAAGCAACACACAAAAATACAAAAAGCAATTGTCCAAATGCCTACCACTCAGAATTAACAGTTTATCAGTATTTTGATTTCTTACAGATTTTTTTAAAGGATGAATTGTTCTATCGGCTTTATAAAACAGTCACATGATACTAAACCTTCTTTCAGCCTGTAATCCCAGCACTTTGGGAGGTTGAGGTGGGCAGATCATGAGGTCAGGAGATCGAGACCATCCTGGCCAACATGGTGAAACCCTGTGTTTACCAAAATACAAAAAATTAGCTGGGCGTGGTGACAGGTGCCTGTAGTTCCAGCTACTAGGGAGGCCGAGGCAGGAGAATCGCTTGAACCCAGGAGGCGGAGGTTGCGGTGAACCGAGATAGCACCACTGCACTCCAGCCTGGGTGACAAGAGCGAAACTCCATCTCAAACAAACAAACAACAGTTACATTAACATTTTAACCAGTCATTTACAATAACGGGAATTATGTGGAATAGCACAACAGAGAGAAATGTTTAAAAATCACCCCAGCTTCCACCTCTTAAAAGCACATGGGAGCACCTGACTTTCGACACTGAGGACAGTGGCTGCAGCTGAGGCTGAGGACAGGGGCCGTGGCTGAGGACAGGGGCAAGGCTGAGGACGGGCGAGGCTGAGGAGAGGGGGCTGTGGCTGAGGACAAGGACTGCGGCTGAGGACAGGGGCCGAGGCTGAGGACAGGGGCGAGGCTGAGGACTGGAGCGAGGGCTGAGGACAGGGGTGAGGCTGAGGACAGGGGCGAGGCTGAGGACAGGGGCCGAGGCTGAGGACGGGCTGAGGCTGAGGACAGGGGTGAAGCTGAGGACAGGGGCCGAGGCTGAGGACAGGGCCGAGGCTGAGGACAGGGGCGAGGCTGAGGACAGGGGCGAGGCTGAGGACGGGAGAGGCTGAGGACGGGCCGAGGCTGAGGACGGGGCGAGGGCTGAGGACAGGGACCGAGGCTGAGGACAGGGGTGAAGCTGAGGACAGGGGCCGAGGCTGAGGACAGGGCCGAGGCTGAGGACAGGGGCGAGGCTGAGGACAGGGGCCGAGGCTGAGGACAGGGGCAAGGCTGAGGACGGGCTGAGGCTGAGGATAGCGGGGAGGCTGAGGACAGGGGCTGCAGCTGTACCTGCCAAGCGGCATCCTTGCCCAGGGCCAGCTTTGAGAGCTGCAGCCCTCGGCCCCCGACTGGTCTGGCTTTGCTGACGGATTGCTGCTGTGATGATGACAGCCCTACCTGCGCTACCTGCTCTCAGATTTTTATGTCTCCAGGGAGAGAGAAAGTCCTCGAGAACATTGCACTCTGCCCCAACTCAGCAGAGTCTCTGCCTCTTTTGACTCCTACCGTAACCAGGTCACACCAGCTTTCACTAGGACATTGGGGTTGTTTTGACTCCTGAGTCTGGGCTTAAAATGGGCAGGTATTTTCCAAGTACAGCTCTATTTTTCTCATCGTTTCCTGATGATGGATTTGGCACTCGGCACACAGCTCGATGGCTGTTTTCTGCCCCAAGCTGGACAATCCTGGGTCGAAATCTCCTGGTCTCAGCCTCCATCCCCCTTGACTCAGCTATCCCAGAAAACCTGCCCAGTGGGGCTGCTGGTGGCGTGCAGTGGGGAGAGCTGCCAGCAGAAACGAGCTGACGTGGCTTCTTAGGTTTGCTACCTCATCTCACAAATTCCCCCTTTGGATCACCATCCAGTTGCATTTACAAGACCCAATGCTGATTTCCCAATACCGGGAGGTTCCCGCCCAGGAAGGCCGAGAGTCCTCAGCCGTGGCTGTAATGAATGGGCATCAGCTCACGTGCACACTTGCGTGTTCATTGGAAAATGCTTTGGCAGGCTCCATCTCTTTTTTTGTTTTTGAGACACAGTCTCACTCTGTTGCCCAGGCTGGAGTGCAGTGGCACCATCTCGGCTCACTGCAAGCTCCGCCCCCCAGGTTCACGCCATTCTCCTGCCTCAGCCTCCTGAGTAGCTGGGACTACAGGCGCCCACCACCACGCCCAGCTAGATTTTTTTTGTATTTTTAGTAGAGCCAGGGTTTCGCCGTGTTAGCCAGGATGGTCTCGATCTCCTGACCTCAGGATCCACCTGCCTCAGCCTCCCGATGTGCTGGGATTACAGGCGTGAGCCACCGCACCCAGCCTCCATCTCTTTTTTAATTAGCATGATCTGGATTTTCTTTTTCCTAGTGTTGCCTTTTCCTGTACCTGCCCAACACAATACATCCCCAGGACTGTTACAGGGAAACCACAGATCACGCAGAGCACTGCACACTTCATAGCATCAGAGGGGCCACAGATCACGCAGAGCTCTGCACACTTCATAGTTCCAGAGTAGCCACAGATCACACATAGCTCTGCACAGTTCATAGTTCCAGAGTAGCCACAGATCATGGAGAGCACTGCACACTTTATAGCATCAGAGGGGCCACAGATCACGCACAGCTCTGCACACTTCATAGTTCCAGAGTAGCCACAGATCACACAGAGCACACAGAGCACTGCACACTTCACAGCATCACAGTAACTACAGATTGGAAAAAAAATGGATAACCAGTGAACAAAACTGGAACCACTTTTGTATATTATGTCATTAATTGTGCTCTTAATATTTCCCACCTTTTTGTACCCATATTTATTACAGTCCTTTCCACAAAAAGCAGTTTTGGACTAGAGCTGATTATAAATGTTTTTAGAGAATACTTCAGAACAATGACTACAGATGCAAAACCTTAGAACAGCCACAGTTAAAATTTGATGAAAGCTTCTAACCAACAAGAAAACAGTTATTTCTATTACACATAACATTGTAAGAAAACAACCAAAATCATGACTGACAGTGTCACATCAGGACTGCCCAGCTTCTATACATTTTCACATAATCTTTAGAATATTCACACGGATAACATGCCCATACAAATATAGTTTACAATTGGACATTATCAAAATTATGACTGATATTATATTAATATAAATGTATGTAATTTTTAGAACATTTATATCAATAACATGCTCACAATTAAAACTAAAAGAAGATTTAGTATCATTTATCATTTGATGATGCTACCCATAGAGTTTTACCAAATGTAATTGTTTAATCTGAAAAGACTTTATGTAGGATTTTGATTCTGTGGAAACCTGCAAAAGATGTCAAAAGGTTCAAAACAATCAAAACAGAATTACAGATCATTTAAAAATAATAGTCACTCATTTAACCAGAGTGATTATCAAAAGACTTCACAGGCAATTTAGGAAGTTACATTGCTGTAAAAACCATAACCCTTTTAAAGCTCAGTTGTCTTAAGTAATCAAAATCTAATAAAGATAAAGGAGAAATTATCTTGATAAAATATAAAATATTTGGTTTTTAAGCCAGTTACCAAAAGGTACAGAAAAACCTGCAGTGTGATTGCCTCTCCTTGAGGGAAGCCCATGCAGGTAACCTGGAAGTCAGATCCGATGGAACCTCGCCTGACACAGGAAGAGCATCTTCAGGGCTGTGGGTGTGCACTTGATTACAGAGGACAGTAAACAAGGAAACTAGGGCCTTGAGCTGGGGAACACACAGCTGTTGGTAACAGCATGAGAAGTTGCCTGATTATGTTGAACAATTCAGACATAGCAAGAAAAGCCAAGTGTATAAATTGAAGCTGCACTTAAGGAAAACGTTGCTTAAACAGCAGAGTTAGAACTGGAGGAAAAAGTTGCAGGACTTGACAAAAAGTTTGAAGGAGAAAGTTGTTATCCCAGGCCTTCTTAAGGGGAGAAAGAGCTGAGGCAGCCACGCACGACCTGCAAACCACACGTGACAAGGGACAGCAGAAGCTGAGTTTCTGAGATGTAGACCTGAGCAGTTTCAAAAGAAATGATTTCAGAGTTAAAAATCAAAACCTCTTGCAATTTCATTAAGAGCAAACCAGTACTTTAAGGAAACTTTGTGGTGACATAGGGGACCAATCTTTAGTTTTGTATTAATGTATATTTAATATCAAAGCTCAATCTTTTTTTTTGAGACAGAGTCTCGCTCTGTCGCCCAGGCTGTAGTGCAGTGGCACGATCTCAGCTCACTGCAAGCTCCGCCTCCTGGGTTCACGCCATTCTCCTGCCTCAGCTCCCAAGTAGCTGAGACTACAGGCGCCCACCACCATGTCTGGCTAATTTTTTTTTTTGTATTTTTAGTAGAGACAAGGTTTCACCATGTTAGCCAGGATGGTCTCGATCTCCTGACCTCATGATCTGCCTGCCTTGGCCTCCCAAAGTGCTGGGATTACAGGCATGAGCCACCATGCCTGGCCCAAAGCTCAATCTTTAGAAGGACATATAAATAATTCCCTTTTAATCACAGCCAACTTACACACAGAATTCTTTTCAAAATTATCTTTTCATAAACCTTATCATGACTTTTACAGACCATTCTGACATGCTTGGACTTTGTGCTTTGTCCTACACTTCTTTTTAAAATAGCCAGTCATTTTGCTTCAGGATAAAAAGAGAGATAACTTGGACAAGTCCACATGTTAACTCTATCATCGCAGATTGCCATTTGAGCTCCAAATTTTCCTTGATATAATTTGCTCATTGGTTTAAAATAAGCAAAAGAGTGGGCCAGTGACAGCCTTAGAAAGCCTGGTATGCCTTAATGTTTAAGAACACCATTTTTGACCATTTCTGCATTAAATCTCCTTTCATGAACCCCTCCCATCTAGAAGGGCTCCATGTGTCACACGCCTGCTGGGCACTGACTGGAGGTTGGTTGTCCAGTGCCTGTTGTTTCACTTTGTTATGATTCATTTCCCACTGGGAGTCAGATTAAAAGGGGAAGCACCTGCTCAACCTGGCCAGACAGCTTCACACATCCTAGCCAATCAGACAGCCTCACACATTCTACCCAATCAGACAACCTCACACATCCTAGCCAATCATGCAGCCTCACACATTCTACCCAATCAGCCTCACACATCCATTTCTTCCTAGAATCTTTTCCTTTTCTTTTTTGAGGCAGATCTCACTCTGTCACCCAGGCTGGAGTGTAGTGGTGTGTTCCCAGCTCACTGCAACCTCCACCCCCTGGGCTCAAGTGATTCTCCTGCCTCAGCCTCCCAAGTAGCTGGGACCACAAGTGCCATCATGCCCAGCTAATTTTTTATTTTAGTAGAGATGGGGATCTCCCTATGTTGGTCAGGCTGGTCTTTAACTCCTGAGCTCAAGTGATCCACCTGCCTCAACCTCCCAAGTGCTGGGATTACAAGCATGAGTCACAGCACCTGGCCCCTAGTATCTTTCAACTAGGAGAATTTTTCTCCTTAACAAATGAAAAGTCTCCAAAACTCAGGGCTGTCAGCCAAGCAGGAGGTCTGAGCCCTAGCACAGCCCCAGGAGAGGACCCAGAGAGACCCCAGGAGAGACCCCACCACGTGCAGCTGTGCAGGGGCCAGAGAGGCCCCAAGGGCCTGTGCTGGGGTCAAGGTGCCAGGTCCCTGCAGTGTCCCTGGGCAGTCCGCTAGGAGTCCCTTCATGGGCACGATGATTGCCAATTAAGGAAAAAAAAGCTTTTCAAGAGTTTGTTTTACGTGGAAGTCTTAGTGAGGACTGTGCACTGAGGCTGTCGCCCGCGAGCCGTCTGTCCATTGCCCCACGCCGTGTTTCTGTTCACGGTTCCTGGACAGGCGGCGGGGGCTGGGCGCATGCAGAATCACATCAAGGTTTGAGTGCGAGGGCATGTTTGGCTGTAGATTACAGAGGCGTAATCACGAACCGCGGCAGACGTCGTGTGCAGGAAAAGGCACGGACCCAGGTCACTGATCTTTTAAGAACATAGTGGCTCCAGGTGGGGACGGAGGCAGGGCCCTTGTGCTTTTTGCTGTTTTGTCTTCAGGCATCCTTCTGGAGACCTGCATGTCCTCCCAGTCAGGGCTCAAGCAGAAACCAGCAAACTGGGCTTCTCATCCGCCACTCACCACAGCCCCTAAGGCTTGATGAAATGGGGTGCATGCAGAGTGCAGGGGAGACCCCCAGTGCACTTGATGAAAGGGGGTGCATGTGGAGTGCAGGGGAGACCCCCAGTGCACTTGATGAAAGGGGGTGCAGGCAGAGTGCAGGGGAGACCCCCCAGTGCGCTTGATGAAAGGGGGTGCATGTGGAGTGCAGGGGAGACCCCCAGTGTGCTTGATGAAAGGGGGTGCATACAGAGTGCAGGGGAGACCCCCCCGGTGCACTTGATGAAAGGGGTGCAGGCAGAGTGTAGGGGAGATCCCCCAGTGTGCTTGATGAAAGGGGGTGCAGGCAGAGTGCAGGGGAGACCCCCCCAGTGCACTTGATGAAAGGGGGTGCATACAGAGTGCAGGGGAGACCCCAGTGTGCTTGATGAAAGGGGGTGCATATGGAGTGCAGGGGAGACCCCCAGTGCGCTTGATGAAAGGGGGTGAATACAGAGTGCAGGGGAGACCCACCAGTGTGCTTGATGAAAGGGGGTGCAGGCAGAGTGCAGGGGAGAACTCCCAGTGCGCTTGATGAAAGGGGGTACAGGCAGAGTGCAGGGGAGACCCCCAGTGTGCTTGATGAAAGGGGGTACATGTGGAGTGCAGAGGAGACCCCCAGTGTGCTTGATGAAAGGGGGTGCAGGCAGAGTGCAGGGGAGACCCCCAGTGTGCTTGATGAAAGGGGGTGCAGGCAGAGTGCAGGGGAGACCCCCCAGTGCGCTTGATGAAAGGGGGTGCAGGCAGAGTGCAGGGGAGACCCCCAGTGTGCTTGATGAAAGGGGGTGCATGTGGAGTGCAGGGGAGACCCCCAGTGTGCTTGATGAAAGGGGGTGCAGGCAGAGTGCAGGGGAGACCCCCCAGTGCACTTGATGAAAGGGGGTGCAGGCAGAGTGCGGGGGAGACCCCCCAGTGTGCTTGATGAAAGGGGGTGCATGCAGAGGTGCAGGGGAGATCCCCCAGTGTGCTTGATGAAAGGGGGTGCAGAGTGCAGGGGAGACCCCCCAGTGTGCTTGATGAAAGGAGGTGCATGCAGAGTGCAGGGGAGACCCCCAGTGCGCTTGATGAAAGGGGGTGCAGGCAGAGTGCAGGGGAGACCCCCCAGTGCGCTTGATGAAAGGGGTTGCATGCAGAGGTGCGGGGAGACCCCCCAGTGTGCTTGATAAAAGGGGATGCATATGCAGGTGCAGGGGAGACCCCCCCAGTGTGCTTGATGAAATGGGAGCATATGCAGGTACAGGGGAGACCCCCCAGTGCACTTGATGAACGGGGGTGCATATGCAGGTACAGGGGAGACTCCCCAGTGCACTTGATGAAAGGGGGTGCATACACAAGTGCAGGGCAGACCTCCCAGTGCACTTCAGGTTGGGGGTGCTGCTCTCGGGGTGCCTGTGGCCACAGTGCTGGCCCAGGACCCTTTCTCACCCACCTGCCCTCCTCTCGCCCTGCAGGATGCAGACCAGCTGGGTGTGCTGCATCCCGTACTCCACCAGGAAGAGGGCAAAGGAGAGCACCTAGCGCCCCGGAGAGGGTGCTCAGAGCTTGGCGAAGAAGAGGAAGGAGACGGGGTGCAGAGGGGCTGGGGGCACAGGAGGCGGGACGGAGGGCGATCCGGCCACCTACTTGCCGCCCAAGAGCCTTCTCTGCCAGGCACTGAGGTTTCTGTTTTCTTCTTGTGGGACTGGCCAGGCCTGGAAGGAGCGAGAGCACAGACTGCGCCTTTGGGCTAAAGATCCCGCCAGCTCTGAGCAACGCTGGGGTGCCGATGACCACACCAGGTGTGAGCCACGCCTGAAACCCACTGCCCACTGGGTGAGTGATGACGTGACCTTCAACAAACACAATAAACAAGCACGGGAAGATGCTCCTCCTCTCCACCAGATGCTCCTCCTCTCCACCAGATGCTCCTCCTCTCCACCAGATGCTCCTCCTCTCCACCAGATACTACTCCTCTCCACCAGATACTACTCCTCCTCTCCACCAGATGCTCCTCGTCTCCACCAGATGCTCCTCCTCTCCACCGGATGTTCCTCCTCTCGTCGAGATGCTCCTCGTCTCCTCGAGATGCTCCTCGTCTCCACCGGGTGCTCCTCGTCTCCACCGGATGCTCCTTGTCTCCGCCGGATGCTCCTCCTCTTCGCCAAATACTACTCCTCCTCTCCGCCAGATCCTACTCCTCCTCTCCGCCAGATACTACTCCACCTCTCCGCCAGATCCTACTCCTCCTCTCCGCCAGATCCTACTCCTCTCTGCCAGATCCTACTCCTCCTCTCCGCCAGATCCTACTCCTCCTCTCTGCCAGATCCTACTCCTCGTCTCCGCCAGATGCTCCTCCTCGTCTCCGCCAGATGCTCCTCGTCTCCGCGAGATGCTCCTCCTCTCTGCGAGATGCTCCTCCTCTCCACCGGATGCTCCTCCTCTCCTCGAGATGCTCCTCCTCTCCTCGAGATGCTCCTCGTCTCCACCGGCTGCTCCTCGTCTCCGCCGGCTGCTCCTCGTCTCCGCCGGCTGCTCCTCGTCTCCGCCGGATGCTCCTCCTCTCTGCCAGACACTACTCCTCGTCTCTGCCAGACACTACTCCTCCTCTCCGCCAGACACTACTCCTCGTCTCTGCCAGACACTACTCCTTGTCTCTGCCAGACACTACTCCTCGTCTCCGCCAGACACTACTCCTCGTCTCTGCCAGATGCTCCTCCGCTCCACGAGATGCTCCTCCTCTCCACGAGATGCTCCTCCTCTCCACGAGATGCTCCTCGTCTCCGCCAGATGCTCCTCCGCTCCACGAGATGCTCCTCGTCTCCGCCAGATGCTCCTCCGCTCCTCGAGATGCTCCTCCTCTCCACCGGATGCTCCTCATCTCCGCCGGATGCTCCTCGTCACCGCCGGATGCTCCTCGTCTCCGCCGGATGCTCCTCCTCTCCGCCGGATGCTCCTCCTCTCCACCAGATACTACTCCTCCTCTCCACCAGATACTACTCCTCTCTGCCAGATACTACTCCTCTCCGCCAGATACTACTCCTCCTCTCCGCCAGATGCTCCTCGTCTCCGCCAGATGCTCCTCGTCTCCACGGGATGCTCCTCGTCTCCACGGGATGCTCCTCCTCTCCACCAGATGCTCCTCCTCTCCTCGAGATGCTCCTCATCTCCACCGGATGCTCCTCGTCTCCACCAGCTGCTGCTCCTCTCCACCAGCTGCTCCTCATCCCCACTGGATGCTCCTCATCCCCGCCGGATGCTCCTCCTCTCCGCCAGATCCTACTCCTCCTCTCCGCCAGATCCTACTCCTCCTCTCTGCCAGATCCTCCTCCTCGTCTCCGCCAGATCCTCCTCCTCGTCTCCGCCAGATCCTCCTCCTCGTCTCCGCCAGATGCTCCTCCTCGTCTCCGCCAGATGCTCCTCGTCTCTGCCAGATGCTCCTCCTCCCCACGAGATGCTCCTCATCTCCACCGGATGCTCCTCATCTCCACCGGATGCTCCTCGTCTCCACCAGCTGCTCCTCGTCTCCACCAGCTGGAGGACTCCAGCCCCTTCCTGCCCTGGCCTCTTGCTCAGTGGCTTGTTGGGTGGGGACAGAGGCCCCTGGGGCACAGCAGGGGAGGCTCAGCCCTTTGTGGGCCTCGTGTGAGCTGCAGCTCCTGGAAGCACCCCCACCAGGCAGGAGTGAGAGGTGCAGGGCAGGGATGGAGCATCTGCTGTGTCACCAAAGTCCCTGCAGGAGCCAGGAGCACGGTGGACGCAGCTGAGCCCCGGCTGTGACTGCGAGAGCAACAGAGACTGTGGTGCTGGCACTAGGATCTGTCCCTGGAGGGAAGCCACATGCTCCCCACTCAGAGGAGGAGAGGGAGTCTTCCTAGGGGTGTGGGGGGCTCCAGGACATGCCTGTAAGACGAGTTTCACCAGAATCCACCCAGAGCCCTCTCGTTCAGACACGCACACGTGCATATTCATATGTACACAGCACATACATGCTCGTACATACCACACATGTGCACAGGAGGGCACGGGCAGGTGACCTGCAGCATCTCTGATCCGGGTGTCTCTAAGGCAGTCAGAGGCCACAGGCGGAGATGCTGTGTGCACTGTCTATTCCCGTGGAGACACATGGGGGCCGTCCCTGTGGTGCACATGATAATGCAGAGGCTCCCAGAGGGTGAGCTCTGCCCATCACTCAGCCAGGGAGGGAGGGGCCCTTTTCAGGGAGCCGCATGCCACGCAGAGCTTGTCCCACTGGGTAGTTTCCTCTGATCAAAGTGGGGCACCATCCAGGCTGCAGAGAGAAAGGGGACCCCCCAAAGCCAGCACCCACCCTTGACTGAAAGACACCACAGAAGATAAGTGCCCATCGGCCCCAGAGTCATCATTTCCCAGACAACCGGAAATGGGCCCTGGACGGGCTGTCCTGGACAGGCTGCCGGGCAGTTGGGTGTGACTCAGTTGCGGCCTCCAACTGTGCCAACCAGAAAGGCACCCAGAGAAGCTTCCGGAAATACGGTTGGTTTGTCCCCTTGGTGGGGCAGGAGGCGGCAGCTCTGCCGGGTGGCTCCCAGCACCCTCCCCCACAGAGCAAACATCGGCATGAGTCTGTCCACCCGTGTATTCGTCCTGTCGCCGCGTGTGGCTGGCCTCATTCTGGGTATGCTGGCGGCAGCCACCTCTAGGACAGGGAGGTCCCATGGCTCTGCAGACACAGGAGCTTGGCAGTGGCTTAGCTGTTAGAATGTGAGCCTTCCAGAGTCAGACGCGCCTTTGCCTTCTGTTGGGCTCTGAGCTCATTTCCTCAAACCCAGGGTAATTCTGTTCCTCCTTCACTGTCTGGTGGGGTGGGGGTCACAGTGTCCGGGGGAAGAGCTGATCAGGGCCAGTGCTGGGGTGGGAAGGGCTGACTCCTGGGACCCCGGAGAGGTGATTGTTGCCACGGGGGGTAAAGTTCCACGTGCTGCTCCTCTGAGCCTTGATTCTGGGCACTCCAGGGCGGCCAGGCCTGGCTCACACCTTCCTACCTCAGGGAGATTTCCGTGGCGCAGGCACACGCCCTGTGGGATGTGAGTGGCCACCTGGCTTGGGCCCCAACTCCCATCAGAGAAGCGGGCAGGTCCCGAGCGAGCTGTTCAGGGCACTCAGCAGCCACACACCCAAGGAATGGGGCTGCCTTGTGCCAGGCCGGGGGTCTGGGGAAGGGCTCAGTGGGCGCTGAACTCAGAGGGTCCTGGCAGCGGCAGTCAGCGTCCAGGATGGTCAGCGGTGAGGCCAAGCCCCGTCTTAGTGGAGGGGACGAGGCTGGGCTTTGGAGACTGTGGGGAGCAGGAGACATCCCTGAGGAAACAGGTCTACGCGCCGCAGAGCCCGAGAGCAGCTCCTGCCACGTGGTTGATGCTGCTGAGGCCGGGGGCTGCCTCTGCCCCGCCGCCCCGCCCAGCATGAGCGTGTTCCTGCTGCTGCCCGGCCCGTTGGGCTGAGAGGCTCAGGCAGCAGCGCTGGGGTCGATGGAGTGGACCAGGCAGGGGCCCAGGGCAGGAACCCCCTGTAGATGCACAGCCCTGAGCTCAGCAAATCAGCTGTGGTGACATCCAGGGAGGGGTGGAAGCCCAGGCTCCCCCTAGAAGGACGCTGCCCTTGGCCTTCAGTCCTATGGGGCACAGATGCCGCCTGGGCTTTCTAGGGCCGGCCAGTGGTCCTGGGGTGGTGGCCCCCGTTGCCCCAGGCCCAGTCTGCCTCAGTTTTATCCTCAGTCCCCACTGGCCCCTGACCTGTGCAGATTCCAGTAAGTGAGCGAGGCTGTCAGAGCCCTCCCAGGCTGGGGGAGATGGCCCAGCCCCACATGGTGCCTGCACCTCCGAGGTGGCCCCCTTGGAACCCAGCCCTGAGCAGGCGGGAGCGGCGGCCACACAGCGGCCCTGGGCAGGCGGGAGCGGCAGCCACACAGCGGCCCTGGGCAGGCGGGAGCGGCGGCCACACAGCGGCCCTGGGCAGGCGGAGGGGTGGCCACACAGCGGCCCTGGGCAGGCGGGAGCGGCGGCCACACAGCAGCACAGACCCTGAGCCGGCGCAGTTCCTCCAGCCACGCCAGCTACACCTTGGCTGTGTCCCTGCCGGGCTCCAAACACCTGTGTCCGTGCCACTGGCCACCTCTTCCCTGCCGTGTCACCCCCACCCCTGCCAAGTGTTCTGTGTGTTTTCACTGCAGGTGATGTGGGAAAGGGCGAGTCTCAGTTCAACGTTCTGGTTCCTTGGGGGCTGTCGGAACAATCGTGTGTTCTTTCCAGAGTTTTCTCTGTCTGGGTTTAGATGCCCACACACGGGACCATGTATTCAATCCCTGTGCATATAGATGGTGCCATATACGGAGAGAGGCATAGGTTGTCTTACGAGAGTGGGGTCGCGTTGCACTGTGGCCCCTGCCAGGCCCTGTCCGGAGTGCTGAACACAGAGCAGCAGGTGCCGCCGGTCCCCAGCCTCTTGGAGCCCCGTTCCCTCTGGGCGTCGTAGACAGTCGAGTTCAGCACATCTCTACGTGGAGTTTCGCAAAAAAGGCAACCACTTTGAAATGGGAGGGCCGCAGCGCCATGGCCTGGCGACGCCTGTGAGTGACTACAGTGGGGCCTGGAGGAGGAGCAGGGGGATGAATGCAGCCTTGGGGCAGGCGCTGGGGCCTGGAGGAGGCTTGGGGAGCAGGGCATGGGGGGCGGGGAGCGAGTGCAGCCTTGGGGCAGGCGCTGGGGCCTGGGCCTGGCTGGGCCCCTCTATGCCTTTCAGTCTTGAGGTCTGGAAACCCGGCCGGGATCTCCCCCGAGTGGGCAGTGCTGTTGGTGGCGGCGGGGGGGAGTGGTGCTGGCACTGTGTGGCCGGGCAGAGCCGAGGCCAAAGCAGTTCCATCCACACGCAGTCCACGAAGGGACGTCGGGCGCCTCCCACAAGCAAAGGCCCCGCCCGGCTCCAGCCCGGCCCGCAGGGACGACCTTGCCCTTCTTTCCTCCCTGGCCAACAGCACCACCCCGTGGGGGCCCCGGTGCTGAGGGCTCAGGCTGCCTGTTTCCGTCCTGGAAACCACAGACACCCGAGATCCAAGCAAGGAAGGCAGGATTTCCATACCTCCTCCCCAGCTGAGCATTCGCTGGAGGGGGACGGGGCTGTCACTACGTCCCTTATGATGATCACCTCATAGAGGCTGGGCCTCCCCACACCAGGACCACACGCCCATGAGGGCCCCACAGGCCTCAGCCTAGAGAGCCCCCATGGGAAACCCTGTGCTGTGAATGGTGTGGAAATTCCCCTGTGTCCTTCCCACGTGACCCCACAAAACCCTCAGCCGTGGACATCCCGAGTTCCTCTGAACGCCCGGCCTTCCCAAGCCTCGCCAGCGCCACGGACATCCCGGGGCCCCGGGGAAGGGTGGCTCTGCCGGGAGACAGGGTCTTCTCTCTGGCTCTGGTTCTGAAGGCTGTGGTGGGTGCAAGGTTCACCAGAGACGGCAGGACTCCCGTGCCCTGGAGCGGGAGGGAGTCTCTCCTGTGTCTCCCCTGGGCGCCGGCTCCTGCTGAACCCCAGACCCAGCTGTGGGAGAAAGCTGCCCAGGGCCCTGCAGGAGAGGCGGGGCCAGCCCTGGTGCACACAGGGGCAGAGGCACCTGGGCTGGTCTGGGCTGGGAGGTCAACTCTCCGTGTTGCAATGCTGTGTCCAGGTCTGAAAAGGGCAATGTGAAAGCAACTCCTCAGGGACAGAAGCCAGGCCACTCTGGGGAGAGGCAGGACACAGCCCTTCTGGCCCTGAACACCTTGAGGGGCAGGCAGGGGGTGATGACCCCACTCTACAGATGGGAGCACCGAGGTGCCCAAGGCAGGGGGTGAGGACCCCACTCTACAGATGGGAGCAGTGAGGTCCCCAAGGTGGGGGTGATGACCATATTCTCCAGATGGGAGCACCGAGGTCTCTGAGGCAGGGGGTGATGACCCCACTCTACAGATGGGTGCATTGAGGTCCCTCAGGCAAGAGTGATGACCCCACTCTACAGATGGGAGCACCGAGGTGCCCGAGGCAGGGGGCGAGGACCCCACTCTACAGATGGGAGCACCGAGGTTCCCAAGGCAGGGGGTGAGGACCCCACTCTACAGATGGGAGCAGTGAGGTCCCCAAGGTGGGGGTGATGACCATATTCTCCAGATGGGAGCACCGAGGTCTCTGAGGCAGGGGGTGATGACCCCACTCTACAGATGGGTGCATTGAGGTCCCTCAGGCAAGAGTGATGACCCCACTCTACAGATGGGAGCACCGAGGTGCCCGAGGCAGGGGGCGAGGACCCCACTCTACAGATGGAAGCACTGAGGTCCCCGAGGTGGGGGTGATGACCGTATTCTCCAGATGGGAGCACTGAGGTCTTTGAGGCAGGGAGTGAGGACCCCACTCTACAGATGGTTGCACTGAGGTCCCTCAAGCAAGAATGATGACCCCACTCTACAGATGGGAGCACCAAGGTCCCCAAGGCAGGGGGCGATGGGAGCACCAAGGTGCCTGAGACATGAGTGATGACCCCACTCCACAGATGGGAGCACCGAGGTCCCTCTGTGGGCAGCTTGGGGCCAGGCACAGGACTGGCAGAGGCTGGGAGCACAGCTTGTCGGGGCATCTGCGGGTGTGAGGGCCTGACACTGTCTTCAGGGCTTAGCCTTTGTTCTCCCTGCAAGAGGGGACAGAATGCCCTTTGTCTTTGTAAATCTATGCCCTGCTTTAGGCAAAAAGAGGAATCCGGAGAGCACTCCTGGACCTGTTTCTTCTTAATCGTCTTCATCTCAAAGGCCCTTCCTGTTTTGGGGAGTCACACACACTCTTCTGACACTGACGACCTGGAGTGTCACAGACCCTGAAGGTGAAGGGCTCTGTCCCACAAGACTCTGCCCCTACTTCTGATGACAGCCGTACATGGGTACCCAGGCAACCCACACTCACTCCTGACAACTGCAGATTTGGGGAACTTTACATCCCCTCAGATTCACTAGAACACCTCCCAGGGCTCAGGAAAGTGCTTTACGTACAATCATGCTTATTATGAAGGAAACCCATGAACAGCTCAGTGAAGAGAGTGGGGAGGTGGGCACTGATCTCTGAGCACCGTGGGGGCTCCCCAGCCTGGGGGCTCCCCAACCCTGATGCCCAAAAGTTTTTATCTAGGCCTCATTACACAGGTATGATTGATTAAGTCATTGGTCATTGGTGATTGAACACAAACTCAATCTCTGGCCCCTCCCAGGAGTGGGGGCGGTGAGGGGGGCTGGAAGTTCCTCTCTAATTACATGGTTGGTTCCTCTGGCAACAAGCTCCCACCCTAAAGCTACCTTGGGGTCCCCCAAGAGTCACCTCATTAGGGTAAACAAATGTGGTGAAAAAGAGTTGTTATGAAATCAGACACCCCTATCAGGAAATTCCAAAGATTTAAGGAGTTCTGTCCCTGGAACAGGGGACAAAGACCAGATGTATTTTTTATTATACCACAATACAAATCTCTTAATTTATTCAGGTCTCCTTCGATTTATCTCAGTAGCGTTTTGTAGTTTTAGGTGATAAGCTCATGCACACTGAGATTCAAAGGGGTCTGTTGGAGCGTTCAGCAATTCATGAACTGAGCAGTACCAGAACGTGTGAGGTTCAGCGTGAGGTTCAGCGCTCCACTGAGGTTGAGGGGCGGAGCTCTTTTCTAAGTGTCTGCAGAAGCGGGACAAAGACAAGACATCTGGTTAAAAGGAAGTCCCTGGTGAGAGGCTGGTTTGGCAGTTTCTGGGCAGTGTCAGTTTCGTGGCCCAGTTCCCAGTGGGCTTCGGTGTGCTCACACAGGGTCCCAGGCACTGAAGCCGCCTCAGCCCAGGGCCTCCTGGTTAACTTTCTCATGTAGCTTTCCGAGTATATGTCCACCACTTGTTTTGGTCAAAGCCACTCATAAGTAATTTAACATTTTTGATGTCAAGAACAATAAATAGAAGTTTCCTCTTTGTGCCTCCCCAGTCACTGGGCTTCAGTCCCAGGAGGCAGGTGCCAGGCAGACGTTGGTCCCTTCTGCTAGTTTTGCCTGGTCTTGAACCGGTGCTGTGGGCTCTTCTGGGGCTGGTTCCTTTCATGCTGAGTCATGTCTATGTGACTCCTCAGTAGTTAGTTTTTTAAAAAATTGCCAGATATAAATGTGTGCTCAGGCAGGTTTTTGAGAACTCCACACCATCTCTTGGGAACGATGAGAAGTCCCCTGAGTCCCTGTGGCAGGACGTGGGCTTTTCATGGGTCAGCCTGAGCCCCGCTCCATGGCCCCGATGGGCGCTGGGGCAGCACCCTGGCTGGACATGGGCTCCTAGAGAGGGCAGTCAGTGCTCGGCAGGCCAGAATCATGGAGGAGGGGTCGGGAAAGCACTGCTGACCCCCAATCCCATGGATATGCTGTCATCCTCCCAATGGCCTGGCTGATGGGCCATGGTGGGTGTGGACCCCTGAGTGAGTGTCTGGGGGGAAGTGTCACGGGGTCAGCCTGTGTGCTTCCTGGGCTCCTTGTCTACATGGCTGCGCATCTGCTTGGCTGTGTGTCCGGGACCTGCTTGTGTCCACTACAGGCCTGGGCCCAAGGAATCTCGGGAGGTGGAAATGGACACCCGGGGCCGCAGAAGCTGCACAGGTGGGGCCAAGAACCAACCAAGCCTTGCTGCCAGCTCCCCGCTCCACCCACTGTGATGCCAGCTGCTTCTCACATCTGTGAAGCCTCACCCAGCCTTGGGCCATCATTTCAGGTAAATAAAAAGGCCTAATGGCCCCATCAGGCCCTGAGCTCCCTGCTTCCTGAGGAGCTGTCTTCTGCTGGAACTTGGAGGCCACGTGGGCAGAATGAAACTCCTGCTTCCGACAGCAGACGGCAGCAGTGACCTACTCCTGGCTGCCCTGCCCATCTGGAGCGGGTTCTGGGTCTTTTGGGCCCTTTGAGGTTGGTCCGCCCTCCTGCCCTGGCAGCAGCCAGTATTTTACTCCCAGTTGCTCCAGCCTCCCCCAACCCCCTTCCCCGTAAGTAACCTGCCCCGACGCTTGTCCTGGAGCCACGGTGTGGAAGATTCCAGCAGCATTGAGGAACCAAATTTTATATACAGCGTTTCCTCCAAGCACGCAGCTCTGATGTGCCTTTTCCAGGGCCAAAGGCCCCTTCAGGAATCTTCAGGCTTCCCGCTCCACCTCACCTTCTGTAGTGCTGCCAGGCTGACGACAGCCCCCGGGTCTGTGGCTGGCCCCTCTCTCCCAGAGCATCTTGGCCTGCAGTGCTGGCCACAGCCAGAGAGAGGGAAGAGACAGCCCCAGCAGTAACCACGGGTGCCTTCGGCCCACGCACCTGCCGGTCGGCCCCAAGGGTGCCAGGCCTTCCTCTCCTATCGCCGCTGTGGGGCTCCAAAGGGCAGCCAGGAGCCCCAGCTCTGCTGTGGCTTTGCTGTTCCCCAACTGTGAGACCCTCAGAGAGCTGCCGGGCGCAGGTTTCCTCCTCGGCCAGCGAGCAGTCAGACCAGGCTTCGGACCCCTCTACTGTTCCAGGGTGGAGGGGAGGACCCAGGAGACCCAATGGCCTGGATGCCAACAGCCAGCGTGGCCTGACGATGCCATAGGGCACAGGGACAGGCTCTCCGTCCTCTGCGGCCCCGTTCTGCTCCCACCCCAGTGCCCTCCTTTCACCCTGGGGTCCTCCCTGGACCAGCAGCTGCCACCCACAGCACACTGGGATATTTGTGCTGGCCTAGCTACTACCTGACACAGCTGACCACCTCACCCGGCTGACGACCCACACAGCCTCCTGGCCTGGGTCCTCCTGCGCCAGCATTGTGTGTCAAGTGTGTGTGTGGCTGGCATTCCTGTGTGCCGCGTGCAGAGCCTGCAGGACGCCCTTCAGTTCCCAGGATGCCCCACCACAGAGGGGGACTGGTCCCCCCGAGGGTCCTGGGAAACCCTGTTCCAACCACATGCCACATAGGTCCTGTTACGTGAGTTAGAGGGGTGCGTGTGCTTCTCAAGATGAGCTTTCATCAAGTTCTTCCTCCACGCGACGTTGGTCCAATTGGCCGGTGGGGAGTACAGTGCTAGGTGAGGGTCTCCGCTGGGGAGCTTGACACAGCGGGGCGCAAATAAAGCCGTCACCAATCCAAACCCGTTCTGCACTGATACCTCGTACAATAGCAATAAAAATGTGTCAGCAAGAACGCCAAATTCGGTTAGCGTTTTAAACGCGGCATTCACTCACGGTGAACGGGCAGCGGTGGGTTTACTGCCCTGCACTCCAGCCCACAGTGCGGTGAACTGGACCCTAAATCACAGTGAACGGGCGGCGGTGGGTTTACTGCCCTGCACTCCAGCCCACAGAGCACTGGACTCTAAACATGCACTGACCTCAAGGTGGTTCCCCTGGCTGACCTCCTGTCACATGGCCTGGATAAGACTGGCAATGGCCAGATCTTGTCACAATCTGAACAAAAGGGTCAATATGTAGAGAAACAGACTGACGATTCGACGCCTCCCAAGGGAGGAACAAAATGAGCTACATTTTCGTTTACTAGAGCACAGTATTAAGGGCCTTGACTTGGGAGTAGCTCAGATGAAGACTTGGTTTGTTTTTCTTTCCTTTCTTTCTTTCTTTCTTTCTTTCTTTCTTTCTTTCTTTCTTTCTTTCTTTCTTTCTTTCTTTCTTCTTTCTTTCTTTCTCTCTCTCTCTCTCTCTTTCTTTCTTTCTTTCTTTCTTTCTTTCTTTCTTTCTCAGATTCTCGCTCTGTCGCCCAGGCTGAGTGCAGTGGCGCAGTCTCGGCTCACTGCAATCTCTGCCTCCAGGGTTCACGCCATTCTCCTGCCTCAGCCTCCTGAGTAGCTGGGACTGCAGGGGCCCACCATCACACCTGACTAGTTTTTTGTATTTTTAGTAGAGATGGGGTTTCTCCATGTTAGCCAGGATGGTCTCTATCTCCTGACCTCGTGATCCGCCTGTCTTGGCCTCTTAAAGTGCTGGGAGAAGACCTGATGGTTTCAGTGGACCACAAGCCATGTGGTGTGGCCTGGGAGAGGGCACAAAGTAACCTGCCTGCTGTTCCCGGGAAGATGCCTCATCACACATCCGAGGGCCCATGAAACCCGGAACGGCCCACGCACAACTGGAGAGCCTGACACACACCTGGAGGGTCCTTCGCACACCTGCAGAGCCCGTCACACACCTGGAGGGCCCGTCACACACCTGGAGGACTCATCACACACCTGGAGGACTTGTCACACCTGGAGGATCCATCACACACCTGGAGGACTTGTCACACACCTGGAGGGCCCATCACACACCTGGAGGACTTGTCACACACCTGGAGGGCCCATCACACACCTGGAGGACTTGTCACACACCTGGAGGGCCCATCACACACCTGGAGGACTTGTCACACCTGGAGGATCCATCACACACCTGGAGGACTTGTCACACACCTGGAGGGCCCATCACACACCTGGAGGACTTGTCACACACCTGGAGGGCCCATCACACACCTGGAGGACTTGTCACACACCTGGAGGGCCCATCACACACCTGGAGGACTTGTCACACACCTGGAGGGCCCATCACACACCTGGAGGACTTGTCACACCTGGAGGATCCATCACACACCTGGAGGACTTGTCACACACCTGGAGGGCCCATCACACACCTGGAGGACTTGTCACACACCTGCAGAGCCCGTCACACACCTGGAGGGTCCAGCACACACCTGCAGGACTCATCACACACCTGGAGGGCCCGTCACACACCTGGAGGGCCCATCACACACCTACAGGGCCGCAAGGGGAACATTTCCAAGGCCATTGTCAGTGCGGTGTAAGGAGGACCTTTCTCCCCATCGGAGCAGGTAACCCAGCAAGGAAGCCCATCCAGCAGCAACCTGCCCTGGCACCTGGTCCTGGCAGGCAGCAGGATGGCCTCAGCAGAGCCGGGATCAGAATGGGGTGGCAGGGGGGTGCAAGCCCACTGGAGGGGGTCCCGGCAGTGAGGTGACCCTGGACATGGGGAGCTGGGCAGCTTCTCTGCATCCATCTCCAGGTGACCTGGAGGGGTCTGGAGCATCAGGGGAGGGGAAGGCAGCCTCCAGGACAAGATGAGCCCTGCCACCTGAGGGGCTTGTGTCTGGAGAAGGTTTCCAGCAGGAGGGGAGCAAGGTCACAACCTGGGGAGGGATCCATCCCGGGGTGACTGGGGTCTGTGAGGCCTTGGGGTGACCTGCAGCGTGCGTCTTGGGATGCACTTGTACCGCATTCCTTCCTGTCGGGATACTGAAGGTCCCGAGCCAGAGGAGAGGAGAGGCAGAGCAGCCCGTCAGTGATGACCAAACCTGCCCACGATGAGTGTGTGGAGGAGGCGCGCTCGTGGAGATGTGCCAGCCGGGTGCAGGGACTGCGGGCATTTGCTGAGAGCCTCCTCCACCAGGTGTTTCCATGGAATGTCTGGTAGGGCTCCCACCAGCCCTGGCCACAGGCCCTGCTGCCTTCCCTCACGTTGCAAGGGGCCATGCCTGACACTCGTCATCACCCACCAACAGAGCGTAAGCCAAAAATAAAACACTAAGGTTCCCAACCATCTGAGTGGACCTCGTCCTCACCAGAGCCCTCTTAAAATGTAACCCGAGAGGTGGTTTCCAGCCATGACGGGAACGGGGGTCAGACATGCCTCGTTCTACCTTTCCAGCATTAACGTCCACACAGACCTGAAGTCTGATGAGAAACATTTCACAGCCCTCTGAAGCTGCTACCTGAAGGCCTCCTCCACAAATAAGAACCTGGGTTTCCAGGATCCTGGATCTGAACTCAGGCATTCCTTTCTATTATTGATCCCAGGTCTTTAGATAAATGTAACCAATTGTCCACCGGAAAGTTTTTAAATCTTCCTATAACCTGAGAGTTCTGCTCCCCTGACTGCTTTGCATTGCCCTGCCTTTCTGAGCCGAACCAGCATATTTCTTAAATGTATTGCCTGAAGTCTCATTCTCCCTAAAATGCATAAAAGCAAGCTACTCTCTGACCACCCTGGACACATGTCCTCAGGCCCTCCTGAGGGCTGGGTCATGGCCCACGGTCACTTGTCTTGGGCTCAGAATGAATCTCCCCACATTTTACAGAGTTTGACTCTTTGTTGACAGGAGCCAACGCTGCTGTCTGACCCCGGCCCGGAGCTCTCCCCGAGCTCTCCTGTGGGAGGCAGCCATTTGCAGAAATGGAGCCGAGCCTCAGTGGGACTGTCAGGGCCCAGGGACCCGAGGGGCCAGCGCTCCCTGAGGGCAGGGCTCAGCATCCACCAAGCGGGCCTTAGAGAGCCATGGCCGCCGGCCATCTGCAGTGCTCGTGAGGGGCACTGACTGCTCCCACCTGGCTCCCACCTCACCTCCGGCGGGCACTGGGGCGCTGTGCCTTTCTCAGAGGCATCAGGGAGTCCAAGGAGACGCCAGAGGACCTGTGTCCCATCCTCAAGGTAAAGGGCACAGTAACTGGCTGACCGATCACCAACAGGCCGCCTCCGCTGCCTGGAGCCCGCTGGCCCAGGGGTTCCTACCGCGCCCTGCCGTCTCCCTCATCCTCCCTCACTGCATCCAGACACCCAGTCCCCTGGTTGCCCGTGCCCGCGTCAGCTCTGGCCATCCTTGTCCTGGGGGCTGGGCATGGATTTTGCTGTCTCGTGTTCTCAGGACTGTATGAAGTCCAGCCCATTTGGCAAGCATCCTGTGGAGGTAAGGCTGTCTCTCAGTGGCTCCTGAGCTGATGTGTCCAACTACAGGTCCAGGTGGTGTCTGCCGAGTCTCCTGGTCAAATCGCCGTCCTTCCTCTGTAGGGGATAATCGTCCTGGAGACACTGGGAGACCAAATCCTGATTCTCCTGGAACTTCTCTGATTTTGGCATCCATGGGGGTCTTGTCAGCAGCAATCAGTTCCGTGGACTTTGACTCGTGGTGATTTTCTGTTTCCCCATTTCCTCAGGCATTTATCCATCGAGGTTCTCCTGCAGGGAAGAGCAGTGGGTCCCTCCTCCCGGGCTGCGTGTTGACCCGGCCAGTGGCGACAGCAGCAGAACTCATATGCGTCTATTGTATTCTGTGGTTTGTGAAAAGTGTAGGTCAGTGACCACAGTAGTGGATTCTGTGGTTTGCAATCAGCACGGCCTCTGTGCGTTTTGTTGCTCATGCCACCATGATCGGCCTTTGGCAGCTCTTCATGTTGGCCCCTGTGACCTTCACAAGCTCTTACTTTTTAATTAATTAAATCTGGGGGTGAGCCTCCGGCTCTGGGCTCCACAGGACTTCAGCTCATTGCAAACTTCCCTGCTCTGGAGGAGCAATGAGTCAGCCGCCGGCAAGGACAGCCCATTTGGAGGTAAAGTGCTAAGGGGAGAGGAAGGCGGTGAGAGTAAAGCAGTGGCAGGAACTGCTCAGAGGACAGGTGACATGCGGAGGCCTAGGGCAGACCTCGTCCAGGGCGCTGGGCAGGTCCAGGCAGGTCCTCCAGGCCAGGGACCCTGCGCAGCTGCCTTCTGGGTGGGGAGAGTGGGGGCAGCACCCAGGGTGCCTGGCGTGCTGTGCTGAAGGCCACCTGCGAGGCTGGAACTGTGTCTCCATCTGACAGGCAGAGAAACAGCAGCAGCCCAGCCTGGGAAACGATGTCAACAGCTCCTGTTTCCAGCACGTTCCTGGGTCTCAGACGCCCAGCCTCACACACAGAGTCCCAGAGACCAGGGTATCGAATGCCCAGCCTCACACATGGAGTCCCAGAGGAGATCAGGGTCTCGAACGCTCAGCCTCACACATGGAGTCCCAGAGACCAGGATCTCGAACGCTCAGCCTCACACATGGAGTCCCAGAGACCAGGGTCTCGAACGCTCAGCCTCACACATGGAGTCCCAGAGACCAGGGTCTCGAACGCTCAGCCTCACACACGGAGTCCCAGAGGAGACCAGGATCTCGAACGCTCAGCCTCACACATGGAGTCCCAGAGACCAGGGTCTCGAACGCTCAGCCTCACACATGGAGTCCCAGAGACCAGGGTCTCGAACGCTCAGCCTCACACACGGAGTCCCAGAGGAGACCAGGATCTCGAACGCTCAGCCTCACACATGGAGTCCCAGAGACCAGGGTCTCGAACGCTCAGCCTCACACACGGAGTCCCAGAGGAGACCAGGATCTCGAACGCTCAGCCTCACACATGGAGTCCCAGAGACCAGGGTCTCGAACGCTCAGCCTCACACATGGAGTCCCAGAGACCAGGGTCTCGAACGCTCAGCCTCACACACGGAGTCCCAGAGGAGACCAGGATCTCGAACGCTCAGCCTCACACATGGAGTCCCAGAGACCAGGGTCTCGAACGCTCAGCCTCACACATGGAGTCCCAGAGACCAGGGTCTCGAACGCTCAGCCTCACACACGGAGTCCCAGAGGAGACCAGGATCTCGAACGCTCAGCCTCACACATGGAGTCCCAGAGACCAGGGTCTCGAACGCTCAGCCTCACACATGGAGTCCCAGAGACCAGGGTCTCGAACGCTCAGCCTCACACACGGAGTCCCAGAGGAGACCAGGATCTCGAACGCTCAGCCTCACACATGGAGTCCCAGAGACCAGGGTCTCGAACGCTCAGCCTCACACACGGAGTCCCAGAGGAGACCAGGATCTCGAACGCTCAGCCTCACACATGGAGTCCCAGAGACCAGGGTCTCGAACGCTCAGCCTCACACATGGAGTCCCAGAGACCAGGGTCTCGAACGCTCAGCCTCACACATGGAGTCCCAGAGACCAGGGTCTCGAATGCCCAGCCTCACACATGGAGTCCTAGAGGAGACCAGGGTCCCAGACGCCCATCCTCACGCAGAGCCCCATAGGAAACCAGCACCTGCGTCTTCTGTCTGGGTGGCACAGGGAAAGTGCTTCCCCTGGGAATACTCGGCTGGCATCCACCCCGCCAGTGTGTGCTGCAGGCTGGCTCATCTGGGGGTGGGGGGCTTGGCGGCAGCACCGCAGGGTCTAGGGGAGCCCACCTGGCTCTGGCCTCCTGCTCTTCGCTTCCGGGGAAACGGCCCAGGCCCCTGCTGCACACTCTTCCTTCCCCTCTTCAGTAGTAAGAGGAGCCAAATGCGGCTGACGGTGCATCTGAGGCCGAGGCGCAGCCCCCGCCCCTGGGGTGGACTTTGGCCGCATGGGCAGGGCCAGGCAGGCAGGTAGCCTCTTGGGGCCTCTGAGGTGGCCCGAATGCCTCCCCTGATCACGGCTGCCACCCGGGCATCCTGGTCCCCCTGCGTCAGAGCCCACACACATGACAGACAGGAGGCTCTGGCTCAGATGAGGCCAGCGGCACTTCCTTTCATCCTGCCTGGCACCCGGTTTCTTGATGACCCAGGCCAGTGTTTTTCACGCTGAATCGTGTTTGACTTAGAAGCACATGGGATGATCCCTTTGGCCTTCCCAGCACCTCCTGAGAAGTATTGTCATCAGACCTGTGAGCATGAGATGGCGCTGGGCCCAGAGAGGTCAGTGCCCTGGCCCAGGATACACAGCGCACAGGAGGTCACTGGGAGCCTGAGTGACAACATCTCCAGGGCTGGACAGCCTCCCTGTCAGGGGTGAGAAACGGGTCTGTGCCCATTTCACGGCTAAGAACCTGGAGCAGGTCCCCCTTCAGCCCAAAGCCCAGGAGGAGGCGGCTGCTTATTGCAAAAGGTGTGAACCAGGCTGAGTGGTGCCGCCCTCCCCATCCACGTGGTCCCCATCTTTCCCATCCACGTGGTCTCTGTCCTCCCCATCAACGTGGTCCCCGTTCCCCCCGTCCAGGTGGCCCCCATCTTCCCAGTTGGGTGATCCCCGTGTTCCCCGTTGGGTGGTCTGCGTCCTCCCCATCGGGTGGTCTCTGTCCTCCCCATCGGGTGGTCTGCATCCTCCCCATCGGGTGGTCTCTGTCCTCCCCATCGGGTGGTCCCCTTCTGGCTCTGGGTTGCCTGCATCTTGCAGCTCCACACTCCGGAACATGTGGCTTCTGGCATCACCGGGGCGGGGGGAAGGGGCCAGCTGCAGCCCTTGGCTGGAACGTGTCAGGCAGCCAAGCCTATGTGCAAAGGGCCGGGACCTGAAGGAGTGAGAAGCCGGACGCTGTTGTCCCTGACCCTGAGCTGAGCAAGTTCCACTGAGGCCACAGAGATGAGTCCGACCTGAATTCTGCCCTCCCGGAGTTTACAACAGGGTGAAAGGCACCTGGCGGGTCTGGAATGCCAGCTTGGAAGGGATCGTGGGAGGAGCTGGCTGAGGAAACGTGGGCCTGGGGTGGGGGTGGCTGGGTTCCCAGGGAGGCCGCAGGTGCTGTGGTGTGCACAGCAGGGCCTGAGCCTCCTGGGGCCAGGAGGCTTCCTGGGCGTGAGGCCCAAGCTGAGTTTTCCATAGGGATTGAGAGTGAGTGAAGGCTGTTTGGAAGGACGTGCTGGGCAGTGGGAAGTTTGAGCAAAACCTGGAGACAGGAAAGAGCTGTGTGTTGAGAGAAGCTACAGCTGGTGCAGTGTTTCTGGAATGGAAAGTTCACGGCGGACGTGTGGAAGGGAGCGACTCCCAGTGGTGGGCACAGCAAGGGCCCCTCCCAAAGACGTCGGAGGCTGAACCCCCAGGACGCTTGAACAGGGCAACCTTGCAGGGGGAACTAGGTTAGGAATCCCAAGTCGGGAGATAGCCTTGGATTATTCGGTGGGTGCTCCTGGAGTTTAGGGAGGATGGAGAGGCTGCTGGACCCAGCGTAAGGTCTGGGCTCCTTAGAGGCAGGTGGGCGGGTCAAAGAGAGAGCAATTTGAAGATGCTGGGTTTGAAGATGGGCCGTGGGCCAAGGCTGCTGCCGTCTCTGGAGGCTGAGAAAAGAAAGCAGTGGCTTCTCCACCAGGCTCCTGCCAGCCCTGCCTTCAGCACCCTGAGGCCCTTTTCACACTTTCCCCTCCAGGACTGTAAGATAATACATTTGAGCTGTTGGAAGCCACTAGGTTTGTGGTAATCTGTTAAAGCAGCAGATAGGAACCTCATAGACTCACTATTGAGAAAAGAAAAGCACTTTTATCTGAGGAGCAAGTCCTTTTAATTATTGGGTCCAGAGAGGCGTTCAGTTGAGGCCGCAACCACATCCCACTCCCCCTTTGAGCTGCATGTTCATCTTGTGAAAGGAAAATCATTCTCGGGACCCCAGATCGCTGAGCCTAAGAGAAAAGTCCAGCTGGGAACTGTGCCAGGCAAACCTGCCTCCCATTCTATTCCTGAGTAAGGGAACTACAAAGATTTTAAAAAGCTACACGCCTGCCTCACGATTTGCCCACAAAGAAATTCCTTGTGGACAAAGCACAGACAGAACTCAAAGTCACCCCACTGCTCCCGTGAGACAAACGCACACAGCTGATCACTTCCTCTGCCCTCATTTCACTGAGCCAGACTCAGGCATGAGTGACCATTCCTGTAAATTGTGCATTCCGTAAAAGGCTAATCAGAAACTCAGGAGTGCAACCGTTTGTCTCTTATCTACCTACGACCTGGAAGCCTCCTCCCTGCTTCCATCTGTCCCGCCTTTCCGGACCGAACCAGCGTTCATCCGATGTATGTTGATGTCTCATGTCTCCCTAAAATATGTAAAACCAAACTCTGCGCCGACCACCTCAGGCATGTTGTCAGGACCTCCGGAGGCTGTGTCACAGGTGCGTCCTGAACTTTGGCAAAATAAACTTCCTAAATTGACTGAGCCTTATCTCAGACGCCTTTTGGTTTACAACGCTACTGAGATGTTCATCTCACCTGCAGCTGTGTATGAGAAGAGGTCGTGGCTGCATCTGGATTCGGAAAGACCCCAGTGCTAATGATTGTTACCATAACCAAGGGAAAGGACTCTAACCTGTGCGGGTTTACGGCTGCCTTCTCGGCAAGCTTGAGATTGTAGGAGCCATACGTGGCCACGATGTGGACTGCACTCTGGCTGGTGGCTGTGGCGTGACCACGGTCACTGCACAGTCACTTGGATCCCTGGGAGGAGAGTCCTGTAGCCTCGGACCGGGGATGCCACAGGCATGAACCCACCTTTGCAAAAATTATAACAGTGGAAAAATTATGGCAGTGAAAGAGACCCGAGGTAACCAACTCCCATCTTGCCTTTAGCCTTCAAACTGCCCTTAATTATTCCTGGGCTTGGGCCAAGCTAACTCTGGGAGACATTTAGTTTATAGCTTAAATGATAATAACCCTTCCGCAAAACTCAACAGCCTTTGTAAAGCTATTGAGAGACCACTAGGCTACGAGGACGAGAGGAGCCTGAATTCTGCTAAAATGGAGACACAAAGGATTACCCCCCTTTATTCTGGAGCTCAAAATATGCAACTTCCCAACTACTCCCGCAGATAACGTCACTACGGTGGAACCTAAGACTGGCCTTTGAGATGTCTTTTCAGGTTTTTTGCAAGTCTGACAACTGATTTCCCCCCCTGGACCGGTCAGCCTCCCTGGTGCCACCCAGAAGCGACTCGGGGCACAAGGACCATTTCCCACACCCCGACGACTGCACCCCCAACCAGTCAGCAGCAAGCGCCCTTGCCTACCCACCCGACTCTCTTCCCCTAAACTAGCCTTGAGAGACCCTGGTCTCTGCATTTTCAGGGAGGCTGATGTGAGTAACAATAAAACTCTAGTGTCCTGTTTAGCCGGCTCTGCGTGTGTAAAACTGTTTCTCTATTGCAGCTCTCGCCACTGGCCAGGAAACGGTTTCCCCCTCCTCGGGCTGTGCTGGGAGGAAGGGTCTGAAGTGGCTTGTAATGTCGGAAGCAAAGTGGAGGACTTGCCCGGAAGAGGGAGGAAGGCCTTGGCTCCTTTGAGCCAGTGGGAATGGAAGGGAAGGCGGCCAGGATTTCCTCAAAAATATTTCCCCATAGCCGGTCAGCTCCCCACGGGGCCAATACCGCATCCTCACTCTGGGCGCAAGGACGGCCCCTTCCCAGAGCCCATTTAGAACTTGGATGAATGTTCTATCAACACTCATGGATGTTGCCTGGATGAATGGGCTCTATCCGGGCCTTGAGTAGGAAGAAGCCGCTGGCAGTTACTTGCTCACCCAGAGACTCCAAGCAGCCACACTCACCTGGGCTGATGACTCAATTGACTCCTGAGTTTCTCCGGCTCTTCATTGAGGTCTGTCTTTTCCACCTCCATCTTTGAGCCTCTGAACTTGATGAAAATCGGTTACATGTAGATGGCTTTTCTGTCCAATGCTAGAGAACTTTGAACTTAATGGAATCCTGCCGTCTTTTCATCAACTCAGTGCTAAACAACTCTAGATTTTAAAATGATATCCAGTGTGACTGCGTCCATTTCACATGGCACAAGGATTGTCTGTGATCACGATTCATAAAGCTGCTATTTTTTAGCTGACACTAGGCCCAAGCATGGCCCCTGGGGGCACAGGGCTGTTTATTTCTCTTTTAAAGCACCCTAATCTGGGAGGTGTATTTTGCCGGTGGCTGGCGGGCTGGGAGCAGAGAAAAGTTCAGTGTAAAAATGAAAATGCATTCCCGGCAGGAAAACTCCCACCCTAAGGGCACGTATGCAGTTTACCCCAAAACAATGGTTGCCGTGGGTAACCCGAGTGGTGTTGCCAGTGGCTGCCAGTTTGGCCCTTCCAGGGAGATGTCAAGAGACCCCTTCTACCAATCCCTTTCCTCATTAAAGAGGAAGAATGTTTGCTTTCTGGGAGATATTTAAGAGGACAATTTGAAATCCCACAAAAGCCAGGGTTGGTAGAATCAGGACTTGGCTCAGCCCAGCTCAGCCCCGCAGCAGCTACCCCGGGCTCTGTTTGTCCTGGCTTCCACCAGGGCCAGCGCTTCACAGCCGGAAGCAAACAGGCCAAGCATTTCTTGGTTAATAGCACAAGGGGGCCAGGCTTGCTGGAGAAGCAGCGGTCAGGGCCAGGGGCCCCTAACCTCTGCAGTCGCCCCTCCCAGTGGCTTTCCAGAGCTGTTTTCCACCTCTCCCTGAGGAGCTGAAGGGCGCCGGGGGCCGAGTCACTGCCACAGCCGCAGGGACCAAGCCCCATCCCAGCAAGGCTGAGGCCTCAGGAAGGCGGCCAGCCCAGGCCCTCTCGCCACTGGCCAGGAAACTGTTCCCCCCCTCGGGCTGTGCTGGGAGGAAGGGTCTGAAGTGGCTTGTAACGTCGGAAGCAAAATGGAGAACTTGCCCAGAAGAGGGAGGAATGCCTTGGCTCCTTTGAGCCAGTGGGAATGGAAGGGAAGAAGGCCAGGATTTCCTCAAAAATATTTCCCTGTAGCCAGTCAGCTCCCCACAGGGCCAATACCTCGTCCTCACTCCGGGTGCAAGGACAGCCCCTTCCCAGAGCCCGTTTAGAACTTGCTTCTCTTCAGACTACATTCCCTCCTGGCTGGATTCTGGAGACCATAACTGGGGCACCTACCAAGTGGGGCCCGTTAGAGGTGCTGGCGGAGTTCCCGTGTGACCCCATCAGGGTGGCTCACAGCACATCTCCGCAGCGACACGCTCAGGTCTGGTTTTCCAGTGTGTATGCGTGGAGCCCAGCAGTGGGGCCCAGATGGCGTGGTGAGGATCACCACTGAAAGGCAGGCCTCGAGCACTTGCCCAGAGTCCACTGTTTGGAGGGCAGTTCGATTCACCGTAGCCAATTAGCCCACAGCACACACAATCTTTCTTTTCCCATTGAGTTGTCTTGGCACCTTGGTTGGAAAGTAATTTACCATGTATGTGTGGGTCTATTTCCTTTATTTGAAAGTGATTTTTAAAAGGAAAATTGCAAGACCCCTTCTTCTAATTGTGGCCCCACACCCTTGCCCATGCATCCGACTCATCTCCATCCATCCTGTGTGTCTGGTAGTTTCATAAAAAGTCAAACACATACCTGCCATTATGACCCAGCGATTGTACTCCTGGGCATTTATCGCAGAGAAATTAAAATGTATAGTCACACAAACGATCATAGCAGCTTTATTTGGAACAGCGAAAACCTGGGAACAGCCCCATTGTCTGTCAGCAGGTGCGTGTCCGACGCATCGTGGTGCCTCCACACCACACAACGTGCTCAGCAACGGAGAGAAACAGACTCTGGGAGAAAACTCCATCTCAAAGGCTGCATTCCGCACTCCGTTCCCATAACACTCTTGAAAGGATGAGTGACGCCGGCGGGTGCTGTGGGTTAGAGAAGGGCCCCGCGGGGCACACCTCACACCTGTGGGGATGGACGGTCATGCATCTCGAATGTGGTTGTGGTTACAGAAATCCACATATGCGGCCACACATCGCAGAATCTCCACACGGAGTCGTACCCAGAATAAAACAAACACACGGAAACCTAGGATGTCCAAATGAGCTCCGTCATCCAGTGACTTGCGTGGTGCCCATATCAGTTTCCTGGTTTTAAGAATTTGTTGTAGCTCTGCAAAGTGCTGCATTGTAGGAAGCTGAGGAATGGAATGTGGGACCCCTCTGTACTATTCGGCAACTTTTTGTGAAGCTATAATTAGCTCAAAATGCAAAGCTAAAATTACTGAGGACTTAGAAATAAACTTGACAAAAGATTTACAAGTCCTATATACTGAGAACTGAGAAACATCAATGAGAGGAATGAAAAAAGGCCTAAATAAATGGAGCCATAGCATGTTCATGGAAGATGCCAACTCTCCCCAGATTGATCTCCAGAATCAACACAATCCCAATCAGAATCCCAGCAGGATTTTTGTAGAAATTGGTAAGCTAATTCTAAGGTTTATACAGAAATGCACAGGACTTGGAGTAACCAAAGCAAGCATAAAAAAGAACAGAGTTGAAGAATTTATATTACTTGATTTTAATCAAGACAGTCAATATAATCATTATAACAGATAAATAGGTCAATGAGACAGAACAACACCCAGGCCTACTCATCTATGGCCACTACTCATTTATGGCCAATTGACTTTTGATAAATGTGCTGAGGCAATTCAACAGGGAGAGAATAACCTTTTCCACAAGGAATGCTGGGTCATTTGGACACCCATAAGCAACAAAATAAAACAATTACAAATCCTCAAAACCCTTACCTCACACCACATACAACAATTAACTTTGGGCTGGATGCAGTGGCTCACACCTGTAATCCCAGCACTTTGGGAAGCTGAGGCAGGTGGATCATTTGAGGTCAGGAGTTCAAGACCAGCCTGGGCAACATGGTGAAACTCTGTTTCTACTAAAAATACAAAAATTTTCTGGGCATGGTGGCATGTGCTTGTAATCCCAGCTACTCAGGAGACTGAGGCATGAAAATTGATTGAACCTGGGAAGTGGAGGTTACAGAGAGCCAAGACCACGCCACTGCACTCCAGTGTGGCTGACAGAGCGAGACTCCATCTCAAAAAAAAAAATTGTAATAGGTCATAAATCTAAATGTGTGAACTAAAACAGTAAAACTTGTAAGAAGAAGATAAGATAAAATCATGGTGACTTTTAGTTTGGGAAAGGTTTTTTAAATAGAACACAAAAAGTTCAAACTACATGAAAAAACCAATAAGCTAAATTTTATTAATTTAAAACTTTTGCCCTTTAAGAGACACTATAAAGAGGCAAGCTGCCAAGCTGGAGAAATTATTTGCAAACCATGTTCAAAAAGGACTTCTTTCTAAAACATGTCAAGAAGCCTTTCAACACAATAATGAGACAAAACAATTCAATTAAAAAGTAGGCAAAATATTTGAATGGATATTTCACCAAAGAAGCTATATTAACAGACAGAAGCACGCAAGACGATGCTGACAACCATTTAGTCCTTAGGGAAGTGCAAACGAAGACCAGTATGAGAGGTGCCTACAAACCCACCAGCATGGCTAACATGTTCAAAAGTGGCCCTGCCAAGGGCTGGCGAGGATGTGGGGCAACTGGAGCGCGCAGCATGTTGGCAGGATCATAACACAAGAACCACAGGGAACGGTTCGGCCATTTCTTAAAAAGCTACACAGAGTCACCATGTGACCCAGACATGTCTGTTCTGGGAACGTCCACAGAAAGACTGTGTCGTAAACGTTCACAACAACCTTGCCTGTAATCACCAAAATCCAAAACAACCTGAACGTCCTCCACGGGTCAGTGGATGAACCAATTATGATACACCCATGCAACTAGTGCTCCCCAGCATTGAAAGGATGAATTGTTGGATGAATCTCAAAATAATTACACTGTGAGACAATGTCAGGCAATAAGAGTATACACGCTGTGTTACCCAGGACAGAAATGAATTAATCTACAGTGACAGAAAGGTCAGTGTCATCAGAGGAGCAGGAGGGTGGAGGGACGGGGCAGGGGCCAGCCTGGGGGAGGGGATGTCCATGGTCTCGATTGTGGTCATGGCTCTGTGGGTGCAGCAGAATGTCAAAACTTATCAAACCGTACGTCTTAAATATGGGCATTTAATTGCATGTCAAAAAAATCTAAACAAAGCTGAAAATGGACAAAATACCACAACCAATGACATCTGACCGTAAAGAGATGGATTTAGGTAGAAGGAAGAATTCTTTAACACAGAATATGGGTCTCTGAGGGAAATGTTATCTCGTAATTTTCTCACTTTTGGTGTATTTAAGCTGTAGGACAAGGAGTGAACCCTAACATTTGGTGAGAGTCTGTGAAACACACTAGGAACCCCCATGCTGCTTGCGAGTTACTTCCGAGAAACAGCAGAATGTCACACCCTGTCACCCGCAGGTGCCGTCTGAGGGGCGCTCATCCCCACCAGCCCGAGGGCCTCCCCGCCAAGGGAGGGGTGTACTCCCTTCCACTTGGCGTCTGCTTGTGCATTGCCCCTCCCTGAACTCAAGACCTGAGCCTCTCTCGCCTGGACTATTTGGAAAGTCTACAAATGGAAGAAGGGGTGCTCTCACTGAGTTGTGTCCGCACAAGGGAAACTGTCCAGGAGCCACAGAAGCAACCGCAAAGTGAGCCTCTCAGACGTGGTTAAAGGGAAGCCAGGCAAAAAGACTGCACGCTGTTGGGTTTCATTTACTCAAAACCCTAAAACAGGCAGAATGAGTCATCTGTGGTAAACCAGCATTGGGGTTACCTCTGGGGGCCGGGAGGGAACCCTGGGGTGCCAGTCACGTCTGGCGTCTCGGCCTGGGTGGTGGGGATGGCTCGCCAAGCCTGTTTGTTGCACACGTGGCATGTCAGCAGAAACACGGGGCAAATACACACGTGAACACAAGAACCCCGGGTCCCTCCCTCATCTACCCAGCGACCCTCAGTCACCCCAGCCGGCTCCCTCTCGCCACCCACGGGCTTTCTGTGGAGGCCCCAGCCTGGCCCTGGAGGCCGTGACCCACCCCGCCTCTTGCCTGAGGTCAGCCCAAGAGACCTTCCTGTCTTCGGCCTGGAGAAGGAGCGGCCGCCAGGACCACCCGGGCCTCAGCTCCCTGGGAGGGCCCCTGGAGGACCGGGGCTGCTAAAGTCCACGGGCATCACCGCATCTAATCCAGGCCCTTTGATGTGGGTGATGTTGATACTCCCACTTTACAGGTGGGGAAACCAAGGCTTCAGCTTCCGTGGCCAGGGGATGAATGGGAGTGTGGTCTGGATGGTGGCTCCTGGACCGGAAGCATGATGGGAGCCATGAGGAATGCAGGTTCTTGGGTCCTTCCAGCTCTGCTGGATTGGATGCTCGTGGGGGCTCAGGGTCAACACAACCCCCCAGGACTCTGACCTGGGAAGTGGAGCAGCCTGATTTGGAGGCGAGGACACACCAGGAGGCACCTTGCCCTGTGGCCACTGCACTGAGGCTTGAGAGATCACTAGAGACAGCTCAGCCTCAGTGCTCCCGCGCCCCCGCCTCGGTGCTCCTGCGCCCCCGCCTCGGTGCTCCTGCGCCCCCGCCTCGGTGCTCCTGCGCCCCCACCTCGGTGCTCCTCCACTCCCACCCCGGTGCTCCTTCCACCTCTGCCTCACCCGATGGACTGTGCCTTTGCGTTTCTTGTGCACAAATCCTGCTGAAGTCTGGGCAGCTGTGTGTTTGATGATGGGCTTGTAGGAGAGAAGCATCTGGACTGCGCCGTGCAGATGGCGCTTCTCTCCAGGCACAGTCACATTCCTGGGAGGTTCCTGGAGGCCTCCGAGCCTCGTGCAGACCCAAGGCTGCCTCACCACCATGGCCACAGCCCAGTGCTGGCTGCCGGGCATCAAATCTGCAGAAATGCACGTGGCATAAAAGCACCAGAGACATCCGTCCAGAGCCGAGGGCTCCTCCCTGGCCCAACATTTTGTCCACGTAAGTCCACTTTTTGGCTGCTGCTCCCAGGCCTGGCAAGAACGCAGATCCCCACAGCCTCCTGCTCCCTGGCAGCCTGAGGACAGTGTCGTAGGCCTGGGATCCTCGGGCAGAACTGAATGCAGCTTTTCCATTGGAGGGCGCTGGGCCCACATGGCAATCACAGGTATGGCAGATGAACTCACGGGATGCTCCGGGACTCCAGGGGCCTCAGGAGAAAGGCCCACTGGCAGCGGGTTGCCCAGGGCTCCAGAGGGGGGCTCCAATGTGAACCAGTTGCTTGTGGCACAGCGGGTCACCCAGGATGGCCCTGCGTGGTCAGTGATAACAGGCAGTCACTCACAGCGCGACTTCACCCATGGTCACTCCCGGTGACCAGCACTGCACAGCCTGGGCTTTCGTCCCACATGGCACCTCCCTGTCCAGCCTTGGCCCAAGTGCCTGGGAAACAGACAGGGCACCGTGTGCCTGAACACACTCGGACAGTCGAGGCCCCCAGGAGAAGCAACAGGCAATGACTCGGTCCCCAAGAAGCTGAGCCTGTCCTTGCTGGGGTCTGTCATCTCCTCTTAGCCCCGCCAGGCTCCTGAAGCTGCCACATGTGCAGCGGGAGGTGGGTGGTTTGGGAGCAGAGCGAGGCTCTGGATGGACGGGCTTTACCACCAGCAGCCACCACCACCTGCTCTGCAGGGCCTGGGCCAGCCCTGAGGAGGTGGCAGACGGAAGGAGGGGCAGCACTGCCTCAGGTCTCCTTTACTGTCTTCCAGACATCAGCTCAGGGAGAGTAGGCATGTAGCACTGAGAAACAGGGTTGCTCCCCATGGCTGCCTCTGCTTCCCTGCCGCACAGTGTCTGTACACGGCCTGGGGACCTGCGAGGCCAGACCGCAGGGCAGGGGCCCACGGCTGTGCCAGCTTCTCTCCCAGGCCGTGGCGGTTATTACCTCCTGACTTGGCAGAGCATCCGGCTACTGGAGCCCATTGGTTCCGGCCAGTGCAGTCAGGACTTAGCTTCCCAGCTGTGATCTAAATCCCAGCCTCCCAAAGGCACAGCGCCTAAGTTCTCCCCTGCCAAGCTCACAGCCTTCTCCTTGGCAGGCTGCCCTTTCTCCTGCTGGACCAAACCAAGGAGCACGGTGACCCAGGGACACCACACTCGGTGTCAGCCTCTGAGGCCATGGAGCCACGCAGACCCAGCACAGGATTAGAAACAGACCTTCCCGGGAGGCAGAGAGCCAGGCCTCCTGGTTTATAGCATGACAAGGCAGCACTCAGGAGGACGCATCAATCCTTCTCCATGTCAGCACCTGTGACTGTGACCACTGGTGAGGTGGACATGCTTCTTTTTCCATTTTACAGATGAGGAAACTGAGGCCAAGGGAGGGTCAGCAGCCTGCCCTGGGCTGACTGGTGATGCAGCGAGGGTGGGGTGTGGGAGGGTGGCGGCGGCCCTTGCAGTCCCTGGGAACCTGCACCTCTTCCTGGGCGCTGTTCCCCTCTCTCTCCCAGGACCCTTGGGCCTGGCGTTTCTTCACCTGCGACCATCCAGGAGCTGGACCTGCCCTAGGGCGTCAGTTTCCAGGGAAGCCTCTGGCCTGTGTGTGAGCCTCCCCACCTGCCCGGCCACGGCCTCCACAGGCGCCCTGCGCAGCCCCGCCCCTCCTGGGGCAAAGGCTTTGCGAAGACTTTCTTCTCTGGCTCATCCCTTTAAGGAGGCATAAAAACGAACCCCGGGCCTCACAGGTCCGGAATGCGCCCCCCTCCACGATGGGAGCTTCTTGGCCTTGGCTGTGCAGGGGCCGCGGCTCCTGGGGGTCTGGCCGGATCTGCAGTAGTGCTGAATGAGCTGTGGCCAGGAAGACGCAATGAATAATTGTCACTTAAAAGGATAAACAGAAATTCCATTTCCCTTTTAAATACTTGAACATTTCAAAACATCTGGAGGACGCGATGCTTTTCCTTCCAAGCATCTCCGTGGAGTTTTGTGGGTTACCGCAGAGGATCGGCAGCATTCCTCTCTCAGGGAAAACTGGCCTGAGCATTGCATAACGCAGGCAGACTGCACCCCTCACGTCGCCTGGGGCCACATGCACATGTTTCCAAGAGACTTGCTGGAGAATCTTCCCCGGATCTTGACAAAGTTGGACATGGAAAGCACGTTGGTCCATCCAAGGTCCACAGAGCGACCCTGGCTATGAAAAATCATCCTCCGAGTGGGAGTCTGTCTGCCAGGAGTGAGGTGACACCGCACATGGCCTCAGGAGCTGGAAACGCTGGTGAATTCAGATGCAGCCAAAGCTTCTAACTTAGTCACAGTTATTAATTATTCTTGGTCTTATTGGAGCAGGAACCACTGCCATGCATCAGGCCAGCAAGGCTCACTCCCCACCGTAGGATCCCTGTGTAGACGGTCGCTCCATCAGTGTAGTTGGGTGTGTGGAGCAAGGGACTGGGCTGACCCTACCTTCCAAGCATCGATGTGGCCTTCAGCAGAGCAGGAGGAGATAGCCCAGGACTTGTACTTTGCAGTTGAAGTGCCAGACCTAAGAAATGCAAACCTGAGGATGGAAAGAGGGTGGAGAGGGGGGAGGTGTCTGGATTGGCCGTCCAGAGCAGCCCCAGCTGCAGCAAGTGGAACTTGGCTGGCTGCCTCACAGGCCTGGTGGCAGCGTCCCCAGCGAGGAGCCTGTCCCACATATGAAGGTCCCCATACCCTTAGCCCCTAGCTGAGAGTTTCACTGACCAGAGCTCCCTGAGTCCAGGGCTCCACTCAAGGGACTGCTGTCCCCGTTGGTGAAGAAGGCCTGTTGGGGCCAATGCTTCCCCCCACAGGGAAGCGGAGCTGTATTTTGTCGGACAGAACTTTGCAAGCCTGAAACAGCTGGTGGTGGCCCCAGAGCCAAGATCTGACCTCACTCCAGAGTTGAAGGGCACAGAGAAGGCACAGCTAGAGGCGGCAGGTACCCCTCAAAGCTCTCGGGAGAGGGTACAAAGTGGGACCTCCCAGCACCCTTGGCCTCCAGGCCTCAAAAGCCCTGAGAGGGCTGCATGCAAGGAGACAAAGCTGGAGAAGGATGTGGGAGGCAGGTGGCTAAGAAGACAGGCTGGAAAGGGACGTGGGAGGTAGGTGGCTTTGCTCTAAACAGAATCGTCTCAGTAATGTGACACTGCACATGTATAGGTAGGCTCGCTCATGGGCATAACCCTCTAAAACACACCTTTTATGGAGTGAAATTCACTTAACAGCCATCTTGAAGCATATACTTCGGCGGCATTTGCTGGATTCACGACGTTGTGCAACCTCTGCTTCTCCAGTTTCAGAACATTTCATCCCTCCAGAACAACAGCTCATCCCCATTAAGTAATCACTCCTCATTCCTTCCCCATCCTCTGGAAACCACAGATCTGCTTTCTGTCTCTATGGATTTGTCCGTTTTGGATATTTCATATAAAAGGAATCACGCGGTGTGCGAACGTTTGTGTCTCACTTCTTTCGGTGGAAGCCACATTTCCAAGCCTCATCCCAGTGGTGGCCCCTGAGTCCCCTCAGTGTATCAGTGTCTCACTTCTGTTCACAGATGCATAATATCCCACCCCAGGGACCGGGCACCATTTGTTAATCCCTTCACCTGTGGTGGACACCCGGTCGTCTCCGCCTGCCGAGACCAGCTCGGTCAGGGAGACCCTAACCCAGCGGCGCTAGAGGAATTAAAGACACACACACACACAGAAATACAGAGGTGTGGAGTGGGAAATCGGGGCTGACAGCCTTCAGAGCTGAGAGCCTTGAACAGAGATTTACCCACATATTTATTGACAGCAAGCCAGTGATAAGCATTGTTTTTATAGATTATAGATTTAAAGGCATTCTTTATGGGAAATAAAGGGATGGGCTGGAAATAAAGGGATGGGTTTGGCTGGTTACCTGCAGGAGGAGCATGCCCTTAAGGCACAGATCGCTCACGCTATTGTTTGTGGATTAAGAATGTCTTTAAGCGGTTTTCCGCCCTGAATGGGCCAGGCGTTCCTTGCCCTCATTCCGGTAAACCCACAACCTTCCAGCGTGGGCGTCATGACCATCATGAGCATGTTACAGTGCTGCAGAGATTTTGTTTATGGCCAGTTTTGGGGCCAGTTTATGGCCAGATTTTGGGGGGCCTGTTCCCAACATCCGCCTTCCAGCTGTTACGAAGGACGTAGCTACGAGCGTCTGTGTGCGCGTTTCCGAGGGAACAGGTTTTGTTTCCATGGGGCGTGTGCTTAAGGGGTAAATGCTGAGTCCCATGCTAAGTGTATGCCTAAACTTTTTCAGGAACCACCAAAGTGTTTTCTGCAGCAGCCACACCATTTTACATTCCCACTCCACATTCTCGCATTTTTCTACTTAAAAAAACTCCAGGCAGAGGGAACAGAACAGGTAAAGACCAGAGGCCCAGTAGGCGGTGCTTGGCTGGAGCTCACCAGGGGCTGGACCAGAGGACACGAGAAAGACGGGAGTGGAAGCTGATGCCCAGTGGTGGATGGCAACGAGGGCTCGGGTGGCTGGGCCGTGTCGCTTATGCAGAGGAAACGGAGATGCTTGGAAATGCTTTGCAGAGGTGAGAATATGGCTTGTTGGGAGAGCGCTTGTGTATCTGGAATTATCTGAGGCCTGGAGGAGTGACACCAGTGACAAAGCCTTTGCAGGACACCCAGGAGGCCATGGGAGTTGTCAGGTGGGACTGCCATGAGAGAGGGCTGGAGAGAAGAGGCGGGCAGAGGACACAGCCTGGGAGCATCTGCAGTCTGGGCAGAGGCGGAAGCAGCCTTCAGGGCGGTAGGTGGGAAGGAGACAGGGCAGAGAGGGTTATCCAGGACTCTGGGGAGAAGAGGCAGGTCCCAAGTTGTTTACCAAGAATTTACATTAAAATAACATAAGCTAGGCTGAGTGTTGTCACACCTGTAATCCCAGCACTTTGGGAGGCCAAGGCAGGCGGATCATTTGAGGTGAGGAGTTTGAGACCAGCCTGGCCAACATGGTGAAACCCCGTCTCTACTAAAAATACAAAAAATTATCCTGGTGTGGTGGCGTGTGCCTGTAATCCCAGCTACGCTGGAGGCTGAGGCATGAGACTCGCTTGAATCCAGGAGGCAGAGGTTGCAGTAAGCTGAGACCACACCACTGCACTGCAGCCTGGGTGACAGAGCAAGACTCCGTCTCAAAAAAAAATAAGCTATTGATGGGCTATATATTGTTAAGCTATAGGGTGTGGTTACAGTGTCCAGTGTAGCATTGTTCGATTAATTTATAGCCTCTTGTGGCAACAGCAAGCAGTTTCCAGAGATGAATACACAGCTTGAGTAGGCAGGGGGGAGTAGGACATGACGGCTGCCTCATCTTAACACCTTGGGCCTGATAATTTAAAAGGACTCACAGTCCTCAGATAAACATGACTTTCTTTTCTCATGAGGAAACAGAGAAGGTGGCTAAAGGGTATCTCTTTCTCTCATGATCCCAAACCTATCAGGTTTTTATTTCCCACACCACCCAGTTTTCCAGCTCCTTGGATGCCAACTGGATGTCCTGGAATTCCATTCAATTCTGAGACTAACAACCTGGGTTGCAGTGCACCGTCCTCCCTCCCGGCATCTGGATGAATTCACCACCCTGGGAGTTTTTGGAACCCCATCATTTAGGATAGACATCCTAAATTATGTGTACCTCATGGAGGTTCCATTATGTAGGTGTGGGGCCAAGGGAGAGCTTTTCCCTCAGCCTTACAAGGGTTCTCTGAAAAGTCAACTCACAAAAAGCAGATTAACTGGAGAAAAGGCACACAAATTAATGTGTATACAAGGGACCCTTCAGATAAACAGCTCATTTTTATGCTTAGGTTCAATGAAGTATGGGCAGCCATGTAGAAATAGGATTGGAGGCTTAGCTGGATCTGATGCTAATGGACTGAGTGGGGAAAGCCAGCCTGGTCTGTGTGTCTGGATTCTCCTTGGCCTCTCTGAGCAGCGCCCTCTCCTTCTGGGTGTGGGTGGGACCCTCTCTGGAATGGGGGTCTTAGGAGCTACAGCCAAGCCAGGTAGGTCAGACCATTTCTTTATGGCCAGTTTGTACACACAGAGGCACAGGGAAAATTAGAGCCCTAGTTTTTGGTTGTATGGCTGGCTTTGGGGAAAGGGGTTCTGGTTTCTAGGACCCACTGTGGGGAAGAAGGATTCCCATTTCTATGGCACCTTGAGTGAGAGTGGTACTGAGACACAGAGGATGGGAGAAGCTCAGACAGAAACTTGCTTCAGAGGCTGCTGCTGGGGCCCTCATTTTGGAGTATGATCTTCTAAGCCCCAACACAGGCACCAAAAATAACGTCCTAAGGCCCCCAGTGACTACATGGACCCGCTCTTGGCCAAGGGGACCCCAGAGAAACCTGGAAAACAGTTCCCGGCCGCAACAGGAAGGGAGATTGGACGCCTGGCTGTTCCCACTCCCTTTGGAATTTAGGCATTAATGTCAAAACAGAGATCAGAAGGCTGACAGAACTGACCGTGGCAATAAGAGCCCCAGTTACAAACAGGACCCAAGACCATGTCAGACGAGGGTTAAGTCAAGTCATGCACCCTGTTAGTCACCCCTGCCCCATGTTTCGGGTGCAGATGTCCTCATCGCTGACTCTAGGTTTTAGATAAAGCTTTGCTCCTTTAACCAGCCGCAAACTGAAGACTCTCTGAATCCACCTATAACCGATAAGGCTTGCTTCCAGATATCCCGCGTGTTCGAGCTGAGCCAATATATATCTCGTCCACCTGTAACGCCTGTCCCCTAAAGTGCATGAAGCCAGACTGTAATCCAGGCACCTCAGGAACACTCACTCTAGGCTTCTTGGGTTTGTTTTTTCTCCAAGCTGTGGTCACCGTATTAGGGGTCCCAATAAACCTCTTTAAAATGTTTTACAGAGTTTGGTTTTTCATTAACAGAATAATGGATTAAATTCTTGGCCATCGGTAATCAGTTCCATCTTCAGCTCCTGTCCTCTCTCCCCTCCCGCTTCCTGGAGGTTGGGGTGGATCTGAAAGTCCTCACCTATAAGTCCTGCCTTGGTCTTTCTGGGGAGCAGTCCCTTCCTGAAGCTGCCCAAGGGTCACCAGCTCTGTCCTCTCGTCAGCACACAAAAGACACGCTCATCACTCAAGAGGTTCCAGGTCTCTTAGAAGCTCTGGTGTTGGGAATCTGGGACGAAGACCAAATCTATATTTTGTTATTATCACAATACCATGGCAACAGTCTGCAAACCAGGAAGAGAGCCTCACCAGACGCCAGCCATGCTGGCACCCTGATGTTGGCCTTTCTGCCTCCAGGACTGAGCGAGAAAAATGTTTGTGGGGTGAGCCCTGGTCTGTGGTGCGCTGTTATGGGCGGGACCCCTGTAAGCCCAGAGTCAGCGCTTGCTGCATCCCTGCTCTCAGAGGCGTGTGGCAGTTGCCTTTCCCTGTGGAGGGTTGGGTGAGATTGCCCTTGCACTGACAGCAACTGAAGGACGATTGAGGGCCCTAGATCTCTGGGTGCAGGGCACCTGGTGAAACGACCCGCCACACATGACTGATTTTCAGCCAAAGATCACTTGTAGCTTACCAAATATGCCAGACCAAAAACTAAAACCAAAAGTTGACAGAGAATCTTCATTTTACAAATGGAGAAATCAGAGCATCCTAATGGTGAGCAACTTGTTTAAAAAGGAAAATTCTGTATGGCTGTGGATCTGCGGCTGCTGTCAAAGGGTTGCTTTCAGTAACTTGCCAATAACGGTGGAGCTGTTGTGCTTGCTTCCTAGCCAGAGATCGTGTCAAATAAAATAACCCTAATTTTGGAATTAGATAGGTTGAGTTCAATTCCTAGCTCCTGAAAAATGATTTTGAACTTAGAAATTGGTTCCAGCAATATTATGAGTCAAGTATGAAGGTAGAATAAAGATGTTTTGTGGCATTCAACCTTCCAAAACATTTACCTGTTTAAACTTATTTTAGAAAGTTACTTGAGGATGTGCTCCAGCAAAATGAAGGAGAAAATAAAGAGGAAGACCTGGGATCCAACACATAGTGGATTCAACTGAGAAAAGTTGTGGAGGGAAGTCCCAGGAGGAGAGCTGCACACTGGATCTGAGAGAGTAGCACAATGTAGGCTGCACATGGGGCTCATCCTGAGGAGACCTCCTGGCATAATGGAGCACTGGGGGTGAAGGCAGATAGAAGATAGTCGGGAGACTATGAACACACATGAGAATGTGTTGTGAGAAAAAAAGTCAAAACTATCAGGGTGGGCGAAGGGCAGGGGGAAGCTGTTGATGGAATGAAAAATAACCATCATGCTTTGTTTGGCTCAGTCATAAGCAATATTTACTTAGTCATGAAAATGTAAATACTAACTATGGATTTAACTAAAAATAGAGATATAATTATAGTGTGGATGTGGAAGTAGGGGAGATGGAGCTAAAATACCTGTCCAGCAGGAAATAAACAGATAATGTCTAAAATGGGTAAGTCAAGCAACAAAAATAGAGGCATATGATTTTGTGATAAAACAGTCATGACCAGAAGGAACAGCTTTAACAGGGACAAGTAGTTGCTTTTGCAAAAAGAGAATTAGGACGTGGCTGGGTGGGAGGCAAGTAACTGTCAGCTCCAGGGTCCACATCTGGTCCTGCTTTATTCCACAGTTCAAGTGTATTGTGTAAAGATCGATATTTTAATTAAAGTGTAATAAGGTGAGATAATTAAATAGTAAAAATAAATAAATAAATAAAACAAAGCTGCCCATTCCCTTACCTTGTTGCTGAGCTTCCCACAGCCCCCAGGCCCTACCCCGAGGGCTTCCTGCAGGACAGTGCACATTGCAGCTGCTGCAGCAGGAACGGGATGCACTGGTCACTCACAAACCACAAAGCGGAACTGGAAGCTAGTGGAGTGGGGGAAATATTTGCAGTAAATATGACACAAAGATTAATAGCTACTTATAGATTTCACATCTATTAAGGTTCATCTGTAAAATCACTGTAGTTGGGGTTTGGAACACAGAGAAACTCACACATGAAGCAGCACTGAATACACGGGAAAGACACGGTCACATGCACAGGGCACACAGGAGCGATGCAGTGGGCACAGGTCACCACGCATGGCCCAGGAGATGCAAGGAAGCGGAGCACCACTCTGTCCACTCAGATGCCCAGCTCTGCACTCAGCAGCCACGGCGAAGAGGGCAGCCTCGGAAGCGATCTGACAAAACCTAGGGGTGAATACAGGAGTTCACACCTTTGACCCACTCTCCCACTAGAAAGTAATGACAGGAGGAATGATGAGGCTCTGGGTGGCAAATGCATAACAGGAGACAATCCAACTATCTAGCAATGAGGCATTAAGTAGATCAAGGCACATCTATTTGTGGCTTATGAGTTACTGGGTGGATGTGGGGTGGACACAGGGAGCCCAGTAGGCCACAGCCCCCATCCTCCATTCCCACCACGCCTCACAGCTCCCTCCTCACTTGGGTGGACCTTGTACAGTTCTACCATCCAGCAGCCATGTAAGTATCTGCCAGATTAAATTCCACATCCACTGAAGGATGAAGAGAGCAGACAAGACTTTAAGCAGATTTCCCCCTCTAGCCTCTCTGTGAGCTCCATCTGCAGGCGCTGCCTGTAGGGCCTGACATACTCAGGGCCCAGCACACATGGGGCCTGGCACACACACGGTCTGGCACACACAGGCCCAGCACACATGGGGCCCAGCACACTCAGGGCCTGGCACACACACGGTCTGGCACACACAGGCCCAGCACACATGGGGCCCAGCACACTCAGGGCCTGGCACACACACGGTCTGGCACACACAGGCCCAGCACACTCAGGGCATGGCACACTCAGGGCCTGGCACACACAGGGTCCAGCACACACAGGGTCCAGCACACTCAGGGTCTGGCACACTCAGGGCACAGCACACTTAGGGCATGACACACACAGGGCACAGCACACTCGGGGTCTGGCACACTCAGTGCCTGGCACACTGGGGGCACAACACACACAGTGCACGGCACACTTGGGGCCTGGCACACACTCAGGCCCGGCACACTCAGGATCTGGCACACTCAGGGGCTCCGGGGCTCCAGGGCTCCAGGATATTAATGCTGGTGCCTGGAGTTCTCAGAGGTGTCTAGGGGCACAGAAGAGGCACTGGCTGGGCCTCCTGGACAGGGTGAGGGTGGGGCGTCACATTCTATTTCGAAAATAAGGAGTGTTTTTAAAAAGCAGTAAAACCCATAAAAGGAAACTCCTCAGAGCCACATCTTGAGGTTTACCTGGACATGAACCCGTTTGCCTCTTTGGAGTTTCCAGGTGCTGGGCCCAAGCCCTCTGTGCAGGCCCCAGAGCAGCGGCTGGGAATTCGGAGGGTGTGGAGGGCATCCTGAGGCAGGGGGATCCGGGCGGGCAGCACAGGGCCTGCGGGGGCGTCGAGCTTCACAGTGGACAAATCCTGCCAGCCTGGCACGTGGCCTCCAGCCTGGGGCCCGACACCTGCTGGACGATGGAGGGTGGAAAAGGAAGGCCCACGGTGACATGTGGAATTTTAAACAGGTTTTCCTGGTTTGAGGGAGCCGTCACGTCTGCTCCTGGCATGGGATCACTTTGCTGTGGAAGCTTGGATGCCGGTGCTTGCAGGCCAGGCTTCTGCCAGGAGCCCTTCAACCCACACTTCGGGCTGTGGCCCCGGGGGCTGTAGGGGGTCAGCCGCCGGGGCCTCTGGTTGACTCAGAGGCTGGTGGGGGCTCCTAGCAGAAGCTCCGAGACCTCCACCTTATAACCCAATGGGTCGCAGGGCTGCGCGGCAGCTGTGGGCTGGGCTGGGCTCATACTTGGTCCTACAAGTGAAGCCACTTTGGGGACCAGCTTCTGGGCCCAAGTCCAACCACAAAGAGGAGATGAAACTGATGCATTTCTAAATGCTTCAGCTTGGCAGCAATACAAATATTTGGGAAATCTTTGACATTTACCGAGCACCTACTATGGACAGAGAACTCAACAAGCACTTTCCAGGCGTTCTCCTCAATGATCCTGACCGTCGCTGCGGGCTCTTGTCCTTGGGACCTTAGGCAGCCGCCTTGCTCACCCAGAGCACGGAAGAGTTGAGATCAGAACCTGCTCCCCGCCCACCCTCCAAGCCTCGCTCTGCACTCCCCATCACAGGGCTGGACACGGGGAACACCTGGGGGCAGCCAGAGTTGGGAGGGCAGAGCTGGAGGGGTACCCTGGGCTGTTACCAGCCATGAGAGTCCAGCTCAGGAAAAAGTGGGGAGCCTGGCCAGGTGGCTCTGGGGCCACCATCTTGGGTGACAACTGCTCAGGGCTCTGGGTTTCCTGCCAGGAGGGAAGGGAGATCAGCCACACACCCATATGCTGGGACTCTCAAGGTGTCTATGCTTTCACAGAGACCTCATGTTTTGAGGACGGGTCAAAGTGCAAAATCAGTGACCACCAGCTGGGAGCTTTGGGCATCCTGATGGGCCCACTCTGGGGAAGAGAGGGGTCCACCAGTCTCTGCTGGCCTGGTGTCGGGGTGAGGCACTGCCCCGGGTGCCCCCGCTGCCCCACGGAATGTCTAGGCCCCAGCAGGTAGCTGTACCCAAAGTCTCATTAGTGTCCACACCTGCCAAGAGTGACACGTGTGCCCACCGTGCCCGGGGTGGAATTCCACAGAGCCGCTCCCCAGCAGGCAGCTCTTCAGTCCCACTGGCTCTTATCAGCTCCTGTTTACTGCAGCGACTGCACCCGCCTCCTCTCTACGATGCGTAAGAACTGCCTTTCCTGTCACCCCGAGAGGCAGGGTTGTGGGGCAGAAGTGGTGGCTCCGGGGCTGGGCAGGCAGGCTTGAGCCTCACTTGGGATCAGTCAGCTTGAGCCGGGCTGCACTGCAGAAACAAATGGCCTCCTGTGTCTTGGGCTTCCAGCGACAGCGTGTGCTTCTCACTCGCGCTACAGGCACATGATGGTCAGCTGGAGCTCTGCTCCATGGCCTCTCAGTTCTGGGACCCAGGCTGAAGGATGCCTCTCATGGGAGGCTCTGTGGGCTGGAGGATGGGGACATGGTGGAACCACATGATAGCCCCTGAGGCATCTGCTCGGCCAGGACATTGGCGAAAGCGTCACCCAAACCTGACATCAAGGGGCCCCGGGGAGAGGCAGGAAACACTCTGAGCATGAATCTAGCCAGTCTACCCGCCGTGTGTCCTTGAGCAAGTGAGGACCTTCTCCAGACCTCGGTGGCCTCAGCCGAGATGGGCATGGCCGTGGCAGGACGACTGGGGTCCGGTCCGTGTGCAGCATTTCCAAGGCCTGGCCCCTGCCTGCTGTCTCTGCGGGGCCCTCTCATTCTGCTGAGGTCTCAGTGATGATTGATAAGGGGGACAGCACATTCTGAGCCCTGATGTACCCTGCAGAGGCAAGGGCTGTCTGTGGTCACCATGGTTTCTGGAACCCTCTGTTTTCCATTTGAATCCCACACAGCCAGCTATGGCTATGGACAAAGAGTGCAAGCTCTGAATCTTCTCCCAGCCTTGTGGCCCTCAGGGTCACTCAACTCCCAGTGCCTTACGTGGTAGGCTCCTCTGAGAGTGTGGACGGCCACTTCACTGGGCTGAGCTGCTTCCCCCGTGGGACTGCCTGACCTCCCGACGGGCCTCCGGGGCGTGTCCCGCATGCCCCACTGGGGACCCTCCACACTGGTGGCAACGTCAGGCCAGCCCTGCTGGGAGCGCCCCGGCCCTGGCGTTGTGTCTCCTGGCTGTCCCTGGTCTCCTGGGCAGATTTTCCGGCTATTTTTTTTTCATGCCTGCACATCTGGGTTGATTTCACTGGCAACGCGAGGCTCCCGCTAGACGTCTCATTTTGTTTCACAGTGGGAAGAAGCATGGAATAATACTGACCTCTTGATCCACGATATATCTGGGGGCACCAAAATTCAGGAGTTTTCTCTCCTCCCCCATGTCAGAGGCAGTAACCTGTCCAGCTTACCTCTCAGAAGCAGCAGGATGATCCTGAGCTGCTTCTGTGAATGTTCACAAGCTGCTTGAAATGACTTCCTACCACTGGATCTATTGGGGGAGAGCAAGGGGGAGCGAGCCTGAAGCCTCCAGTGTGCAACTCACCCCACCGTGTAACACCTGACTGTGCAACTCACCCCATTGTGTAACTCACCCCACTGTGCAAATCACCCCACTGTGTCACCCCATCATTGTGTAACTCACCCCATGGTGCAAATCACCCCACTGTGTAACTCACTCCACTGTGTAACTCACCCCATCATTGTGTAACTCACCCCATCATTGTGCAGCTCACCCCACTGTGTAGCTCACCCCATTGTGTAACTCACCCCACTGTGCAAGTCACCCCACTGTGTACTCACCCATCATTGTGTAACTCACCCCATCATTGTGAAACTCACCGTATCATTGTGTAACTCACCTCACTGTGTAACTCACCCCATTATGTAACTCACCCCATTGTGTAATTCACCCCATCATTGTATAACTTACCCCATCATTGTATAACTCACCCCATCATTGTGTAACTCACCTCACTGTGTAACTCACCCAATTGTGTAACTCACTCCATTGTGTAACTCACTCCATCATTGTGTAACTCACTCCATCATTGTGTAACTCACCCCATTTTGTAACTCACCCCATTATGTAAGTCACTCCATCGTGTAACTCACCCCATCATTGTGTAACTCACCCCACTGTCTAACTCACCCCATTGTGTAACTCACAGAGCTTGGTCGTCCCATCTAGTATCACTGTCCTAAATGCACTGTCGGGTCACTGAACCTGCGATTAGCCTGGGCTTTACCTACCCAGAAACACTTCTGCATGCCATGAGCACCTTTGCAGGCTCAGCTGTGAAGTTTCTAGATTCCACATGCACTTGCCCCATGAGAGGCCAGGATGCTGCTGGAGTTGTGTTCACCTCAGGTGTGTCATCACTGTAGCTGTTCCAGTCCGTGACATAGCCTTGCAATGTTGGCGTGGACGTGGAAGCGTGCAGGGAACAGTCGGCACTGGCATCAAGGCCCCAGGATATGGCCATCCACCCCCGATGGCCCCAGGTCCTTTCAGCCCCTCCGTGTTTATTTCCTAGGGAAACTCTGGTTTGGAACCATAACTGCAAAGAGGAAAGTCACAGAAGCTCAGTGGGATGATCTAACTTGCTTGCCAACAACACACTGCTCTACTAAAATTCTCTTGTAGTTTCTACACCCAAGACATGGGCCAAAAATTCAGAAGCCACTGGGACAGCCTGGGAAGAACAAACCCGGCCAGGGACTTTGTCAGTCATCCCGAGTCAAAAGCGCTCAGGGGTCCCGGACCAGGAGAGGGGGTCTTGGCCCAGAGCTCACCCTCCTCGCTGAGGCACAGCTGGGGCATGCTTGGTGCATCGGAGCTAAGATGCTCTGCACTGTGCTTTTAAGGAGCAGGGATCCTGCCAGGGAGGACTCTTAAACGGAACCACAATAAGCAGCGATCTACGGTCAGCCCCTCTACACACAGCAGATGCCGTGGGGCCTGCTGAGCTCAGGAGCAGTGCACCTGCACTCTTGCCTCCCGGTTTGACCCAGCTCCAGCCTCTGTGCTCCGTGCTGCACTCCTATCCCACCAGTACCAGCAGCTGACGGCAGGGGAGACGTTTTTTCCACGATAAGAATTTGTTTGAACCAGCCATGAGTTCTTCCAGTAAACACAATTAGCACATAAAACTGTGCACCGCGTGGTGAAAGGAATTAGGAAGATATGCTGTGTTTACTTTGTGGTTCCAAGAGCTGGTATCTTTAAACCTTTGATTTGCCAAGAGCCCAAATCATGGGCAGGAAAGGAGGGTAAACCCGGCCCCATCACTTGCAAGCAGCCGATGGATAAACAGCCGCCTGGCATCTCCTCACAGCGCAACTCAGCTGCTGCTCCCGAGCTGTGCTTCCAAGTGTGGGGCTGTTTGTCCTCTGCCCCCGAGTGGAGGCTCCTGCAGAGCACAGCCAGGAGCAGGGTGGCTCCGTTGATGCTGTCATTGCTGTGCCTCAGTTTCCATCCACAGAAGAGGGGACCGTACAGGGCTCTTGAGCAGAACAAGGTCGTTGTCATGAGACTCTGGGGGCTGCGCCAAATGACGCTGGTCACTGAAAAGGAAGCAGCCTGTGTTACCAGGACCGCATGACCTCCACACCGCTTTCCAGAAGGTTCGTGAATAACCCACCCCTCATTTACGTGTAATTAGGTGGAGGTATAAACAGCCAGCCAGCAATCTGAGGGGGCCCCTTTGCCAGTGGACAGCCCTGCTCTGTCCGTGCAGCAGCCTTTGGCTGTGCCCTGTCGCCCTAATCAATGCTTCTTCCACTGTCTGATTCTGTGTGAATCTCTCCTGATCAACGCCTCCTCCACTGTCAGCTCACGTGCGAATCTCTCCTGATGAACGCTTCCTCCACCGTCAGCTCAGGCGTGAATCTCTCCTGATCAACGCCTCCTCCACTGTTGGCTCACGTGTGAATCACTCCTGATCAATGCCTCCTCCACCGTCGGCTCATGTGTGAATCTCTCCTGATCAATGCCTCCTCCACTGTCGGCTCATGTGTGAATCATCTCCTGATCAATGCCTCCTTCACTGTTGGTTCATGTGTGAATCATCTCCTGATCAATGCTTCCTCCACTGTTGGCTCACATGTGAATCACTCCTGATCAATGTCTCCTCCACCGTTGGCTCATGTGTGAATCTCTCCTGATCAATGCCTCCTCCACTGTTGGCTCATGTGTGAATCATCTCCTGATCAATGCATCCTCCACTGTTGGCTCACGCGTGAATCTCTCCTGATCAATGCCTCCTCCACCGTCGGCTCACGTGTGAATCTCTCCTGATCAATGCCTCCTCCACCGTTGGCTCACGTGTGAATCATCTCCCGATCAATGCCTCCTCCACCGTCGGCTCACGTGTGATTCATCTCCCGATCAATGCCTCCTCCACCGTCGGCTCACGTGTGATTCATCTCCCGATCAATGCCTCCTCCACTGTCGGCTCACGTGTGAATCATCTCCCGATCAATGCCTCCTCCACTGTCGGCTCACGTGTGAATCATCTCCCGATCAATGCCTCCTCCACTGTCGGCTCACGTGTGAATCATCTCCCGATCAATGCCTCCTCCACTGTCGGCTCACGTGTGAATCACTCCTGATCAATGCCTCCTCCACTGTTGGCTCACGTGTGAATCACTCCTGATCAATGCCTCCTCCACTGTTGGCTCATGTGTGAATCACTCCTGATCAATGCCTCCTCCACTGTTGGCTCATGTGTGAATCACTCCTGATCAACGCTTCCTCCACTGTCGGTGTGTGTGTGTGAATCTCTCCTAAGTGAAGCCAAGAGCCCTCTTGGATGGAGGAGGTCTGCCTGCCTTGATTTTGCTCTGCAGACCACTCGCCTTGGTTTAGAAACTTCCTCTCTTGAGGAAGGTGATTGCCTGCTAAAGCAAAAATTGTCAACACTTTCTGGAGAAATAGAATCCAGAGCCACTACACATAAAATTTATATTTGGGATAAAATCCAAAATTATTTGACATATGAAGACCAAGAAAAATATTACCAATCTTCAAAAGAAATGACAACTTTTAGTTTCCAATATTGAGATGAAAAGACTGTTGGAGTTACCAGACAAGTACTTTAAAACAGCTATTGTAACTGTGCTTAGTGAAGTAAAGGTATGCTTATGATGAATGAAAATATAAAAAAATCTAAGCAGGAAAATATAAAATATTAAACAGAACCAAATGGAATTTTAAAACTAAAAAATACAATATTTGAAATAAAAAGTTCAGGTTTAATAGAGGAAAATAGTAGTAAGCTTAAAGAGATTGATAAACACCATATAAATTAAAGAGAAAAATGATTTAAAAAGCAAACAGATCTACGATAGTTGTCATCTCTTCAAAATGTCTATAAAGTGTTTTTGTAAGCCTCAGTAATCATAATGCAAAATCCTATAATAGATACACTAAAAATAAAAAGCAATGAATTAAAACATACTACCAGAGAAAACCACTTAACCACAAAGGATGACAGTAACAAAGAAAGAGAGGAGGAGAGGAGTTATGAGACAACCAGAAAACAAGCAACACAACGGCAGTAGTAAGTCCTTACTTATAAATAACCTCAATGGGTTGGCTCCACAGCAAAATTGAAGAAACAGTGGAAAGAATCAGCGAAACAGAAGTACAATAAAAATTACCCAATCTGAACAACAGAGAGAAAATAGACTGGAAAAAACATGAACAGAACCTCAGGGACTTCTGGGGCTATAACAAAAGATCTGAATTCGTGTCATCAAAATCTCAGAAGGAGAGGAGAAAGAGGATGGAGCTGGAAAAACCAAAAATAAAATGACTGAAAACTTAAGAAATTTGGCAAAAGACATAAACCTACAAATATGAGAGGCTGAAAAAACTCCAAACAGGATACATTCAAAAAAATTCATACCAAGACACATCATAGTCAAACTTCTGGAAAGTAAAGACACAGAGAGAAATGACATTTTACCCATAGGGAAAAGCAATTCAAATGGCAACAGATTTCTCATCAGAAACCGTGGAGGCTAGAAGGAAGTAGCACACAAAACTGCCAACACAAAAGTCTGTATTCAGCAAAAATAATCTTCAGGATTGAAAGGGAAAATTGAGACATTCTTAACTGAAAGAAAACTAAGAACATTTGTCACTGGCATATCCATCCAAAAAGAATGGCTAAAGGGGCTTCCCTACACAGAAAGAAAATGATCAAAGAGGAAAACTTGGAATATCAGGAAGGAAGAACAAGGTAGCAAAAGTATGGATATATATAATATGCCTTTTTTCTCCTCTCAAATTTTCTAAATTATATTTGATGAAGCAAAAATTAAACCACTGTAGCTCTAAATATTAATATATCTGGAGGAGATACTTATGACAATTATATCATAGATAAGAGATAAAAAAGACAAAGGGAGGTGAAGTTTCTATACTTTACTCAAAGTGGTAAAATGATGATACAAGTATACAGTGATAAGCTATTTATATAAATGTAATATCTAGACCAATCATTAAAAACTAATATAAAGAGATATACTTAAAAACACTATAGAAAAATCAAAATGGAGTTATAAAAATTGTTCAAGTAACTCATGGGAAGACAGAAAAGGAAAAAAGAGCACTGAAAAACAGAACAAACAGAAAACAAAAAAAAATGTCAGACTTAGGTCCTAAAATATCAATAATTACATTAAATGTAAATGGTCTAACTGCATTAATTAAAGACAAACATTTGTAGAATGGATTAAAAACTGTGACCTAACTATGTGTTAGTTACAAGAAACTCACTTCAGACATAACAATATAGAAGAGTTGAAAGTTAAAGAATGGAATAAAGTTTATCACGTAAACATTAAGCAAAAAAGAAGCAGAAGTGATTATAGTACATCAGATAAAATAGACGACAGAACAAAGAAAATTGCCAGAGATAGAGAGGGACATTGTATAATGATAAAAGGGTCAATCCACCGAAAAGACATAGGAATGAACTCTAGATATGTATGCTCCTAATAGTGATATACAAAGTATGTGAGGCAAAAATTAATAGAACATAAAGGAGAAATAGACAAGTCTACAATTATAGTTGGAGACTTCAACATGCTTTTCTCTATAATTGATAAAATAACTAGACAGAAAATCAGCAAGAACATAGAACCCAATAACACCATCAACAAATAGAATCTAATCAACATTTACAGAACACCCACTCAACAACACCAGAATATATGCTGTTTCCAAATGCCAATGGAATGTATACTAAGATAGACCATATCCTGGGCCATAAAACGAATCTCAACAGACTTAAAAAGAATTTTAAACAGAGAATGTGTTCTCTGACCACGATAGAATCAAGTTAGAAATCAATAACAGAAAGATAACAAGATGTCCAGATGCTTGAAAACTAAGCAGTACTATTCTAAAGAATCCATGGGTGACAGAGAAAGTCAAAGAAAATCAATGCACTAAACTGAATGACAATAAAAATATAAATCAAAATTTAAGTGATATACCTAATGCAGTACTGACAGGGAAATTTATAATACTAAATACCTATATTAGCAAAGAGAAAAGTTTCAAATCAGTAATCTAAGCTCCCGCCTCCAGAGCCTAGAAAAAGAAAAGCAAAATAATATTTTACCCAAAATAGCAGAAGGAAAGAAATAATAAGGATAAGAACAGAAATCCACAAAGTTGAAAAAAGAACAACAAAAGAGAAAAATCAAGGAAACAAGTAACTTTTTCTTTAAAAAGATCAATAAAATAGACAAATCTGTAGCAAGACTGACCAAAAAGAGAGAAGGCATAAATTATCAATATTAGAAATGAACAGGGGCCATACTAAAGACCCTGCAGACATCAAAGGATATTAAAGGAATACTGCAAACAATTCTATGTAAATATGACTACTTAGATGAAATTGACCAATTCATTAAAAAAAAAAACCCGACAACACATCCAATATGAAATAGATCATTTGAATAGTTTTACAACTATTTAGAAAATTGAATTTGTAATTTAAAAATTGCCAAAAGTGAAATCTCCAGGCCCAGATGGTTTTATTGGAGAATTCTACCAAATGTTTAAAGAATTTATAATTCCACCCAATCTCCTTTGGAAAATAGAAGAGGAAAGAACACTTTCCAACTCATTTTACAAAATTAATATTAATACCAAAACCAGGTAAAGACAATAACAAAAAAGAAAACCATAGACCAATGTCCTTTATTGATATAAAAATCCTTTGTTTTTTGTTTTTTGTTTTTTTTGAGACGGAGTCTCACTCTGTTGCCAGGCTGGAGTGCAGTGGTGTGTTCTCAGCTCACTGCAACCTCCACCTCCCAGGTTCAAGCGATTCTCCTACCTCAGCCTCCCAAGTAGCTGGGATTACAGGCACCTGCCACCACACCCAGCTAATTTTTGTATTTTTAGTAGAGATGGGGTTTCACCACGTTGGCCAGGCTGTTCTCGAATTCCTGACCTAAAGCAATCTGCCCAAAGTGCTGGGATTACAGGTGTGAGCCACTGCGCCTGGCTGAAAAAATGAACATTGATTGATATTATACACCAAAATTAACTCAAAATGAATCATAGCCCTAAATGTAAAACCAAAAACTGTAGAACTTCTAGAAGAAAGTCTCAAAGCCAGCAAATATTTCTTAGCTATGACACAAAAGACCATAAACCATTAAAGAAAAACTTGGTAAATTTAAAATTTTTGCTTTGGGAAAGACACCATTAAGGGAACAATAAAGCAAATCATAGAATAGAGAAAATATTTGCAATACATATATCTAAACTTGTGTCTAAGATAAATAACTCTTATGCATCAATGAGAAGATGGCGAATGACCCAACAAAAGAGTGGGCAAATGATTTAGACAGACATAAAAGATATATGGGTGTTGAATAAGCATATCAGGAAAATGCAAATTAAAACCACAAAGAGACTCCAGTACAAATCCACTAGAAAGGGTGAAATGAAAAAGACTGACTGTAGCTGGTATTAGTGAGGATGTGGAGCAACCAGAAAAGCCAGCACATCGCACGATTTTGGAAGACAGTTTGAAAGTTTCCACCTATCATATGATGCAGCCATTCCCCTTGTAGGTGTTGATCCAGGAGAAGTGGAAAGCCAAAAACTGGAAACCACCTAAATGTTCATCAACAGAAGGTGGATAATCAGAATGCAGTACGTGTAATGCAAAAAATTCAAACAAACACACAGTGACAGCATATCAGCGGCTCCAGGTGTGGGGCCAAGGGGCCCTAGCTGCAGAGAATCCGCAGAGTCTGGAGGGAGGGCTCGGTCGTTCTGTATCTTGGTTGTGGTGGGTCATTGAATTGGACACTCCAAAGGGTTTATTATACATGAATTATACTTCAATAAAGTTGATCTTAAAAACTTAAAAAGAAATTTCTAATCAAATTTTTAGCAAATCACATCTAGCCACATAGTAAAATAATAATACATGAGACCTGTCTGTGTTTATCTTAAGATTGCAAGATTGGTTCAATATTAGAAAATATAGCCATATTTATACATGTTATACATTTAAAACACTAATTCATCACATCAGAAAGGGAAGTAGGTCAAAAAGAGGAAATCCTTTGGTTTTCATCATTATTGCTGAAAAGGCAATGATATAATTTAGCAACCTTACCTGAAAAATAATTACTGATAACCAGAAATAAAAGGAAACTTCCTTAACAAGTTTTTGCTTTTTAAAGTCAGTGGAAAACGCACTTGAATGTGTTCTACGTGCCAGCTTTTATTCACCCTCCTGGCTGTACATCGAAAGCCATGAATCTCCCTGCTGAAGACAGGCTGCCTCTCCCTGGAGGCTTCCCATCTGTTTTTGCCCAACACATTTCCACAACCCTTTAGACTTAGAGATAACCAAGAGAGAAGAAAGGTGGGGGAGGAGGAGGAAAGTCTTCTGCATTCCTGGGCCCCACCAGGCCAGCAGATCCTCCCGGTGGGAGCAGAAGTGGGGGTGGGGAGGCTCAAAGAGCAGCACCTGCAGGGGCAGGTGCCGCTGACACCCAGGGAGCCCGACAGGACCCTGCCCTGAGCCCAGCTGTCCCAGAAACCACCTGGACTTCAGCCAAGCGCAGTCCCTGTAAGGTATTTAATGGCATATCCAATCCACGAAGCACCGAAAGGCTCCCTGGCTTCCTCCTACCGGGACTTGAGAACTTCTTCAGCCACAGAAGCAACTCAGGCTCCCCAAATCTATCAAAGAAGACCACAGGGACGTCTGCACCATGCACAAATTGAGAGGAGCCTCCTGACCCTGAACGTGAAACACCCGCACCCTCAGCCCAAAAACAGGGGGCTTCTCCAGCTCAGGGCTGCAGCAGGAGACCGTCTGTAGCCACAGGTCCTCTAGAAGCTCTACCAGTGCAGCAAGAGCAATCAGCAAATAAACAAAGTGTGCAGTATTTGAAAGAAAGAAAAAGAAACTATCACCACCTGCAGATGACACATCCAAGCGTCTCTTTGTGCCAGGCCCTGTATACATTTTCCAGCCACTCTGTCTCATTCCACACACATTTTGCAGAGAATCGGGACCTGCCCAAGGCTTACGTCTTACAGATGCTACTCCTGGAATGCAAACGCAGGTCTGGCTGATTCCAGAGTCAGAACTTCAAGCCAAAAAACTTTCCCAAACACCCCAAAGGATGGACTCAAAGTTAGTAAAATTAAGAGAGGAAATTACAATGATGGTGAGTAAAATCAATATAGAAATCCAATAGCATTCCCAGATGCTAGCAATAACCACCTCGCAAGCAAGAGTGAGGGGGAGCCTGTTCGAAATAACAACCCAGCATCTTAAATACCCAGGACTTGTTAGGCCAAGAGATGAGTACAAAATTTATATTGAAGAAACAACAAATTTTGTAAGGAACTATAGGAAAAAATTGGGTCAGTTGAGAGATGTCAGCATGATACCAAAGGCAGAAACCAGAGATGGGAGGACCGGTAAGTCTGAGAGCATAAAAATATAAAACCCACCATGTACACATTTGTAAAGCAAACAGAAATATAAAACTCCACTAAGGGACATGAAAAAGCAGGTGACTAGATGCAGAAACATGCTGAACACTTAGGAGCCCTTTTATTTGTTGAAATATTTTCAAATAAGTGAAAAAATCAGGTAAAGCAGGAAATTGACAATGATACATATACATCTCAAATGCTTCCTTTTAACTTAAAATATATGAGTCTGAATTGATTTGATTCTTGTGAGAACATCTCTGTGAGGTCTGCTCTTTGAATTTGTTTTTTCCTGGCAAAAAGAAAAGAAATTTTAAAAATCTTATAATTCATCACTCATGGTTTTACGCTTTATTTCCTTAAATTAAGGCAAGAATTAAAGATGCTGTCATGGTGATCTGAGGGCAGAATCCCTTTGAATGTCATCTTCCTCCAATTTTTACAGCTTTCTTGCATATATTTGGTTTTGCAGCATTAAAAACACTTTGCCAGTTTGTCTCCACCAAGCCTTCCTGAGCGCTCTCCCACTCTGCAGTCCTGGCCCATTCCCAAGAGGCAGAGATGCATGCAGAGGGCACCAGCGGGCCTGGCAGCCACCCTTGGCTCTGCTGAGCCTTAGCTGTGGGAGAGGCCACCTGGGCCCCCGGCTCTGGATGTGTGTGGAGGGATGGAGGGTGCAGGCTGGCCTGGCATGTCGGCTATGTGTGGCCAACCAGAAGAGCTTGGCACCACCCTTGACAGGAAAACTCAATATTTGATTCCCTAATTCCTCCCCTAGGAATTTTTCCTAATGGAACTCAGTGCCCACTTCATAGTAGTGGTTATCTCTGCATAAATTTTATTTCCTTCTTTGTGTTTTCCTGTATTTTTCAAATGGTCTGCAATCTACACGGATTACTTTTATAATTAGAAAAAAATTAATTGTAAAAACATTGTTTGAAGTTTAAAGAGTGCCATCTTGGTTACTACTCAAATCTTTATACTGTCCTTACGTTTTTCAGTGTTAACCCAAACTGTGACGCCCATCTCCCTAGGACACATCATAGGAAGGCCTGCTTCAGTGAGAATGCACTCGAGATAGGAAATTACCCGTGTTGATAAGCAGGGCCTGCCTATGTTTTTAAATTTCAGGCTCCCTAATAAAAGGAGTAGGATAAAATGCCAGCATGCTGACATTTCAGGACACTGCCGTCCGGCGGGGGACTGCGCACAGCGCTGCCCACTCTGTTCTGACCCCCACTGTCCTCTGACTCCTCCTGGGTTGTCCTGCCATGTTCCCATGGGGAAGGTGTCACACCCAGTGCCAGTGGGTGATGATCAGAGGGGATATGACAGGGCTCTAGGTGGTACCTGGATGGATATTTTTTAAAATAGTTACTAATTTATTTTAGTGTGCTGTAGAAAAAACCAGGCAGCACAATGGACCTTCAATCTCACACAGATGTATTTAAATGTATTTAAATGTAAACATATTTTACATTTAAATGTATTTAATGAGTCTATTGAAGATGCCCTAGGTAGACAATAATTCAGAGCACATGGATATGGCAAAACTTTGAAATCTGCACACAGAAGGGTGCAATTTGGGAAACTGTCATATGAAATCGCACTTGGGCTGCACATTACGAACACGGCAGGTCGTATCTGTGTGTTTTCATTGCTTTTAAATCTCTTTTAGCAGCTCATTCTGTGCAGGCACCGGTTCTGATTTACTTAAGAAGATGGTCTTAACTTCCCTTTGATGGGTATCGTCATCCTTTCTCTTAGTTGGTTTCAGTATTATTGCAATAGGATATACTGAAGTTTTGAATAATTTATTAAACGAATCTTTACTTCCTAGATACAACTATCTTGACTTTTTTCTAAGTACTACACTTTTGAAGTAAAATAAAGCCTCACCTCAACAACAGAAGTGGGGTCCAGAACATCCCGTGGGTAGGATGTGGGAGCTTTCCTGCAAGGTCGAGTGGCCCCTGCTGGGACCCTACCTCTGGCTTAAACTGTGACGGAAAGATTCTGGGTATTGTGGTTGCCTGGAGCTTCCACGATTCAGCAAGGATTCCAGGACTGTCCTGGGGAGTAGCTGCCGTTTAATTAGCCTGACAGAGAGATCGCTCCTGGAGAAGCCTGTAGACGCAGGACTCCTGCCTTGTTGAAGGATCAGATGTAGCAAGTGAAGAGGGAAGGTGAGGAGGCTGCCAGGCAGCCGGTCAGTGGGTGCCGCTTAAGAGAAAGTGTTGGCCAGGACTGCAGGGGCAAGAACCAGGACACAGGCCTTTGATTTGTTACCTGAAGGGCCTGCTGGGGCTCGGATGCAGGTTGGTGACAGACTCAAACTTGCCATAACCTTTTCCTCAATGTATCCTCATTCCAAAAGTCTAGGGGATTAATTCCAAAATAGTTAGATAGCCCCCTTGTATTTCTTCGTGGGTGTTTTTATGATCCTTCCTCTTTCTTTATCACCTTAAAGCCTGACAAGCAGATGCCTGGGGATGGGGCTGGGGTGATGAAACCTTTTAGCATTGCTTGGGATGAGGCTTGCTGCCTGTGAAATCAATGCCAAGATGCGCTTTGAGTAAGGAAACTTTCTGGAATTAACCTTTGAGTTATTTATTTCCATGTTGCTGATAAGGGCTTGAAAGTTCTGTCTGGGTTGCAAACACGGCCCTGATTGCTTATTAACTGCGTGATCTCCTACAGGTCACTGATTCTTCTCAAGCCTCGGTTTCTTTATTTGTAGCTTGAGGCAGTGACACCTGCCTCATGGGGTCGCTGTGAGACAGAGTGAGGCCTCTCTGCCCACATGCGCTGCAGCATCCGGCACACTGTGTGCTCAGTAGGCAGAGACTGTCATCCTTCTTGTTACAACAACCACCACAGTTGTCCCTGGTATTTGCCAGTGTATTAGTCCATTCTCACACTGCTAAGAAAGACCTAAACGAGACTGGGTAATTTATAAAGAAAAAGAGGTTTAATGGACTCACAGTTCCACATGGCTGGGGAGGCCTCACAATCATGGTGGAAGGCAAAGGAGGAGCAAAGACACATCTTACAGGGCGGCAGGTGACAGAGTGTATGCAGGGGAACTGCCCTTTATAAAACCATCGGATTGTGTGAGACTTATTCACTATCACAACAACAGCACGGGAGAAACCCGCCCCTATAATTCAATTACCTCCCACCAGGTCCCTCCCACAACACGTGGGGATTATGGAACCTACAATTCAAGGTGAGATTTGGGTGGGGACACAGCCAAACCCTATCAGCCAGTGAGACTTTGGGACCCACCCTTCCAGGCTGCGGCTCCCTCACTCTCATCCTCACGCACTTCTGCGGTGCCTGAGCTGCAGTCACCGTGGTAACTGGGATTGACCTTTTAAAGTATCTGTTATAACTACAAGCTTAGTGTCAAAATACTATTAACCTGTTTTGCCTTTACAGACTTATTTTTAAAATAGTGTGAATTCAGTTGTGTTTGATTAGCAGCTTTTCACTGGAGTTGCCGCCCAGCGCAGCGAGGGGTCTTCTGCAGGCCTCGCTGCCTCTGCACTCCTGTGCCTCCAACGGAGCAGCCATTAGTTGGACCAGGCTGGTCTTATTCTCCAGCTTCCTCATTATTTGGGGTGAGTTCCTCACAGCCTCCTGTTAGTTCTCCTGATTTTGTGTATTCTTATTCTCATGTTGCCCATGTTTGGCCTAAGAGAAGGCGCCTCTTGGCCGGCTTCCTGGAGGACTCTTGCTTTCTTGCATGCCACAGCAGTGACAGCTCCGGCAAGGCCCTCCTGGTAAAGTCATTGGCAGATCCCTGTCTTTGAAAGTGTTCATATTTGGAAGAAAATGAGTCCAAAGCTGCGAATGTCCGTCCTCCTGCCAGAGAGGCAGACAGCTGAGTGCTATTGTTTGGGAATCTGTAAGAACTTTGCTATGGCAAAATCCCTGGCCACCAACAGCAGCCTCCTGAGGAGAGCACTGAGATAGTAAAGGTGCCTGGAGGCGATTTGCATCCATGGACCAAAAAATTTAATTCCCCCCGAACTTTATCAGTGGATGTAGCAATAATTGGCTTCACTAGCGCTGTGTCCGTTGGCAAGTGGAGATCTTCTCTGTTCCTCAACTGTGTAGAGGGGGAAACACGCGGGGAAGTCATCCACACGGCGCTGGAAACACCACCGGACCCGCAGTGTGCAGAGCCCCAGGGCTGTGGACTCAAGGTCTCTAGGAACTGTATTCAGGGGAGAGGAGAGGGTGCGGAGGACATGACAGGTAGCCATAGAAACCAGCACACAGGGTGGGGCCGGCGTCCCGTTGGAAGTTTCCATTGTAATACACGCATGATGGGAAAAAAAATGTAAAAGAAATCACCTACAGTCCCATCACCCAGAGAAACCACAAACCATCCTTGAACATTTTGCCATATTTCCCTTAAGAACTCTTATATTGTAGTTCAAGGAAAAAAATGGTTGGGCTTATATGTCATATATATAATTTTATATCTTTTAGAACGGAATTATCACAGATTACTTTATCATAACTCATGGATGGAATGTTATTAATTCTTGATAAATGTTATTCTCTCTTTCTCCATGACCATACATTCAGAGAATTTACCACAGCCACTTAACAACCTCCCTATTAGACATTTGGTTGGTGTACATTTTTCACTAGTACTAATAATGCTATACTACAATGAATATTTTTGGCCATAGTTTTTCTGCATTTTGAATTATTTCCGTTGGATAAATTCCCAGAAGTAGAATGTTGGGACAACAAATGCCTGTAAGACTCTTCATAAATATCACCTGGCCAGCCTGACAGCATCCAATGCTTTGAGTTAAATACAATATATTCAATACCAAAACATTTGTATTTTGCTGGAGAGTTCTGAGAAGTTTGTTTTTCTCCCTTGAAGACCTGTGCAAACCATGTTGCATAGTGAGTAGTGCGGTGTTTAGGAGCAAGACACTAGGAGCACTATGGTCTTCCGACACTTATGGGGTACCTACTGTGTGCACCCAACACATTGTGGTCTTATGATACTTATGGGGCACCTACTGTGTGCACCCAACACATTGTGGTCTTATGATACTTATGGGGCACCTACTGTGTGCACCCAACACATTGTGGTCTTATGATACTTATGGGGCACCTACTGTGTGCACCCAACACATTGTGGTCTTATGATACTTATGGGGCACCTACTGTGTGCACCCAACACATTGTGGTCTTATGATACTTATGGGGCACCTACTGTGTGCACCCAACACATTGTGGTCTTATGATACTTATGGGGCACCTACTGTGTGCACCCAACACATTGTGGTCTTATGATACTTATGGGGCACCTACTGTGTGCACCCAACACACTGGGTGCTGGGAGGGATGAAGAAGAAGAGGCTGAATCCTCAGGGCATGCCTTCTCCTCCTGGCCTAGAGTGAGGGTGACGCCTGGATGGGCATCGTGGAAAAGCCCCTGGGGAGATTCTGAGCAGGACTGGTGGACACAGACGTGGACAAGGTGTCCCAGAGCATCCTGGTCATGATGCAGGAGAAGCTCGAACGCACGCTCAGCCCTGGTCGTGACAGAAGAACAGAGAGGAATAAGAAACGCCTTTAGGAGCTCCCAACCCAAGGGAGTGGGAGGATGTTCTGCACCGTTTTTCTGGAAGCTTGGGTCTAATTTTTCAGTTACTTAGTTACTTATGGCTTTGAGGCTGGATAGCTTCGTATATTTTGTTTCCTGAAATGACCCCACAGGTTCTACAGAGCAGGAGAAAAGGCTGGACAGGGGTCCCCACTGGATGAGACGACCTTCCCGCCCCCTCGGTCTGGGAGTCTGTGATCTTCAGGGCCAGCCCCCAGCTGGCAGGCCCCACCTGGAAGCTGAGTATGCCTCTGCTGGCGGTCCCAGCCTTGGCAAGGCAGCTCTTATTTCTCTCCAGCCTGCGGTGGTTTTGATAAAGCGGCATTTCTGCCTTGTTGGAGCCTGGTTAGTGATGATGCATCTTAGTCCAGGCCTCTCGAGTTTGAAATAAGAACCCCAACCCTTGGATGAGCCAGAACTGCCTTGGTTTGCTGGTGTCAGTTCAGAGCATTGAAATTCCTGCTTCACTTTAAAGAAAAATCTGTGCAGTAAGAATCTGTGTTTCTAGACTGCGTGAGAGAACTCGGAACTTTCTGTCACTTATTTTTAGAGATGTCCCAACAATGATTCCCTCTGCCAAGCCTCTGCCTGGGGGAACCCACCTTCCTGTCTCAGGTGAGCCTGACCCCTCCCCACCCCTTTGCTGCTGCTGGACTTCAGAACAGATTGCAGGCAGCAGCTACAAACCTCAGCTTCTGAAATGTCACTCATTCATCCACTCGCCTGTGCAATCCTCTCTCTAAACTCCCTATTGGGGCCAGTTCTGCAAGTGTGTCTAGGGCCGCACACACAACGGTGGGCAAGGCCCGCACTCACTGGCACGATGGGTCTGGCCCTCCAGGACAGACAGTGGGCCTGTCACCGGGCCCGTGACTTCCAGACACGAACCCTCCTCTTTAGCGAAGCAGGGAATTTGTCAAATACTGGCCCTAGCAGGCATAGCACAGCACCTGGCTTCTAACAATCAGTGAGGGGAGAAAAGGTGCAGGACACTAATGGGGCCACATTTCTTCACGAGGACTTCAAGGTTCTGCACAAGGAGGTGAGTGAATCTCAGACACAAAAAGTACATTCTGCACGGTTTCGTGTCAGTGACTTTCAAAAACAGACCCCACTTACCTCTGATGGGAGACACCAGGACGGTGGTTGCTCTGGTCAGGAGACCCCACTTACCTCTGATGGGAGACACCAGGACGGTGGTTGCTCTGGTCGGGAGACCACACTTACCTCTGATGGCAGACACCAGGACGGTGGCTGCTCTGGTCGGGAGACCACACTTACCTCTGATGGGAGACACCAGGACGGTGGTTGCTCTGGTCAGGAGACCACACTTACCTCTGATGGGAGACACCAGGACGGTGGTTGCTCTGGTCAGGAGACCACACTTACCTCTGATGGGAGACACCAGGACGGTGGTTGCTCTGGTCGGGAGACCACACTTACCTCTGATGGGAGACACCAGGACGGTGGTTGCTCTGGTCGGGAGACCACACTTACCTCTGATGGGAGACACCAGGACGGTGGCTGCTCTGGTCGGGAGACCACACTTACCTCTGATGGGAGACACCAGGACGGTGGTTGCTCTGGTCGGGAGACCACACTTACCTCTGATGGCAGACACCAGGACGGTGGCTGCTCTGGTCGGGAGACCACACTTACCTCTGATGGCAGACACCAGGACGGTGGCTGCTCTGGTCGGGAGACCACACTTACCTCTGATGGGAGACACCAGGACGGTGGCTGCTCTGGTCGGGAGACCACACTTACCTCTGATGGGAGACACCAGGACGGTGGCTGCTCTGGTCGGGAGACCACACTTACCTCTGATGGGAGACACCAGGACGGTGGCTGCTCTGGTCGGGAGACCACACTTACCTCTGATGGGAGACACCAGGACGGTGGCTGCTCTGGTCGGGAGACCACACTTACCTCTGATGGGAGACACCAGGACGGTGGCTGCTCTGGTCGGGAGACCACACTTACCTCTGATGGCAGACACCAGGACGGTGGCTGCTCTGGTCGGGAGACCACACTTACCTCTGATGGCAGACACCAGGACGGTGGCTGCTCTGGTCGGGAGACCACACTTACCTCTGATGGGAGACACCAGGACGGCGGTTGCTCTGGTCGGGAGACCACACTTACCTCTGATGGGAGACACCAGGACGGCGGCTGCTCTGGTCGGGAGACCACACTTACCTCTGATGGGAGACACCAGGACGGCGGCTGCTCTGGTCGGGAGACCACACTTACCTCTGATGGGAGACACCAGGACGGCGGCTGCTCTGGTCGGGAGACCACACTTACCTCTGATGGGAGACACCAGGACGGTGGCTGCTCTGGTCGGGAGACCACACTTACCTCTGATGGGAGACACCAGGACGGTGGCTGCTCTGGTCGGGAGACCACACTTACCTCTGATGGGAGACACCAGGACGGTGGCTGCTCTGGTCGGGAGACCACACTTACCTCTGATGGCAGACACCAGGACGGTGGCTGCTCTGGTCGGGAGACCACACTTACCTCTGATGGCAGACACCAGGACGGTGGCTGCTCTGGTCGGGAGACCACACTTACCTCTGATGGGAGACACCAGGACGGCGGCTGCTCTGGTCGGGAGACCACACTTACCTCTGATGGGAGACACCAGGACGGCGGCTGCTCTGGTCGGGAGACCACACTTACCTCTGATGGGAGACACCAGGACGGCGGCTGCTCTGGTCGGGAGACCACACTTACCTCTGATGGGAGACACCAGGACGGCGGCTGCTCTGGTCGGGAGACCACACTTACCTCTGATGGGAGACACCAGGACGGCGGCTGCTCTGGTCGGGAGACCACACTTACCTCTGATGGGAGACACCAGGACGGCGGCTGCTCTGGTCGGGAGTGGGGGGCAGGTGGTGGGGGTTGCGAGAAGGGTGTGCAGGAGCGTTCCGACGAGAGGCTGTGTCTCTATTGGGGTGAGGGTTGCATAGGAGAAGCAACTGATCAAAACTGCACAATGAAGATTTGTATATTTCATTATTTGCCTGTTTTACCTCCCAAATCCCTCATTCAGGTGCGATGGAATGGGAGCACTGGAGACACAGACAGCTGAACGTCGCACGCTGTTGCCCAAGGCTGGTCCGGCTGCTGGGGCTGCACGCCAGGCCGGGGTCTTGGGTTCTCCGAGTTTATGCCTCTTTTCCGGCCTGCGAATAAACCAATAGAGAAGAGGAGGTCAGGAACTTGGTGACTGTGCCATCCAACGTGGTGAGATGAAGGCAACAGTGCCCATCTTAGAAGGTTGTCGTGAGGATTATGTGAGTTAATTTACAAAGAGCACACAACATGCCCAGGGCTGTGGTTGTTTTGTGAACATCATTAAAGTCTGGTAAACTGTTTTCCCCTCAGCTGTGGCTGCAGCACTGGAAACACTGGCTGCCTAAGGTGCTGGAGGTCGGACTGCAGTCTGGGTCCTCCCAGTCCAGATTCCTCAGCTTCACTGGACAGACAGGCTCACCTTTGGAAACGCCACAAAAATCCACTTGTGCTATTTGTGTTGGTTTATTACTAAATGGACATGTGATTTATTTGGCATAGCAACTCTGCCTTTTCCCAAGAGGTTCCCTGCTTGGGGTATTATCTCAGATGGAGGGCTGAGGCTGTCTGGTCCCATCCTGGTGAGTGGTGGGCGAAGAGACGTGGTGTCCAAACCACATCACAAGTACTGGAAGGGGGTGTTAAAATCTCTGTCCACATTGGAAATTAATAAAACATATTATTCCCCACAGATAGGTTGCAAAGCCCTGGTCTACAAGGTCAGGGACCTTTTTCTGTGGGCCCAGCACTGTCCACAGCCTGAGAGCAGAGAGAACAGAGAACAGGTGAAGCAGCTGTGACTAATGAACCTGCCCTGCCTTCTCCTCTAGGGCAATGGAGATAGGCCCAGGGTGTCCTTTGGCTTTAGCCAAGCTCTACCATGCAGACAGTAAGACAAGAGCAGAGCTGCAACAACCACCAGGCCCATGATATGCCCCCAGCCACCCCACAGAGAATCCACTATTAATACCATGTTACTCGCCCTATCAATCCCACATTACCCCATCATCAATCCTACTAGCTATAGACCACTAAGCTCAAGGGTCTGTCGCCACCTCTTGCCACAGTCAGTGTCCATGAACAGTGTCTGCAGGGCTGCTCTCTCAGGGCTCTGAAGAGAAGCCAATGGTGGAAACCTGGATGTTGGCAGACATGGCTCATGGCAGTGGGCATCTCCCCATTTCAACCTCACATATTTTTCACATGGTTCAGGAACCACAGAGCATTCCAGCCGTTCATAGACACGGACATGATGTCAGTATTTCCTGCTGACCTTCCTCTGTGGAATGTGAGGGCTCCTGCCCCGTGGGCCCCAGTTGGGAGCAGCACTCCTGGTCCATCTGCCAAGCCAACTGCTTTTCCTCCTTCTCACCTCTCTGCAAAGCATACTTTCGCCACCACAAAAGGGGAGCATAAAAGGAAGGAATGTACCAGCCACATGCCAACTCTTACTCTCCCTCTTTGCAGCATAAACCTTCCGATTTCTTATAACCCTTTCCCATCTAAAGCCAATTGGTGCATCTCAAATAGCAATATATGATTCTGAAATTAACAATAGAACCTTATTAGTGCAAAATGAAGCCCAGTTTGCTGTAGGCTGAGATGTTTTGAACCATCTAAGGGAGTTGAGTTATTTTAGCAGCACAAAGACATTCTCCAAAAACATGTTCTCCTGGAAGGCAGCACTAGACAAAGAGACTAATGATATCTTGTGCTGTTGGGTAATCTCAGGTGGGCCCTTAACTTTTCCAAATCACGGTCTCTCAGGAGGCTGCAGATGAGTGGGTTCCCACGGCCTCTTTTGAGCTCTGGCACTAGACAAGGTGGTTTATAATGGGAAGGGGCAAAAAGTGAGCTGTGGAGTCTATAGACTTAGTTTGAATTCTGGTGTTTCAAGTTTCCAGGGGTGTGACCTCAAAGAGCATGTTTAACTTATTCTCAGATACCCTATCTGTGAAGAGGGTATGGCAACTTAAGGGTTAATACAGAGGATTCAAAATAAAATATTTAAATGATAAATTTTTCAATAAATGATATTAGGACAATTAGTTATCCATTTTGCTAAAACAAAATTCCTCCTCTCTACTCTTTATCGCATGTATTAAAACACACTTCAGAGGATCAAAGATTTAAATGTAGGCTGGGCACAATGGCCCATACCTGTAATCCCAGAACTTTGGGAGACTGAGGCAGGAGGATTGCTTGAGGCCAGGAGTTTGAGACCAGCTTGGGCAACCTGGTGAGTCTCTACAAAAAAAAGAAATAAAAAATTGGGGGCTGTAGAGAAAAAAAATTAAAAAATTAAAAATTTCACTGGGCATGGTGGTGCATGCCTGTAGTCCAAGCTACTCAGGAGGCTGAAGTGAGAAGATTACTTGAGCCCAAGAATTTGAGCCAGGGGTGAGCTATGATTGTACCACTGCACTCCAGCTTGAGTGACACAGCAAGACCTGGTCACACACACACACACACATACACAAATTAAAATTAAATTTAATAAGTTTTTTTTAAAAAAGATTTAAATGTGAAAGAAGAAAGAGGGCACTCCCTCTGTGGTCGCCACTGGCTCTCAGAAGTAGTGCGTGAGCAGGAGGCTCCACTCTGATCCAGGAGCACTGGCATCTATGAAGAGGGAAACCAAGAAAAAATTCTTTCTGCTATCTTTCCTTTCAGTAATGCTTATCTTAAGAACACTCAACTGGAAAACCACTCCACCTAAAAGTAGGAAAGATGGCAATTCTAAATAGCAACTATTATCCCAGGGAGACCCCTCAGATATGTGAGGAATCAAGCCATAAATGTGCATTTGCTGGACATTATATACCACGTCATCTCTATGACTACAGATTTTAAGGATAATTTTTACTCACTTAACAATTTCACTGTAACAGTGACTGATAATGTGAAAATGTGCTTTATACAGTGCTGCTGATGGGTACACAGACAAGTTCTTGCTGCAATTATTTCTAAATCTAGCCAGATCCCAGAGTCATGAAGATATAAGCTCTGTGAGACCAGGGACCATCTCTCTTTCTTGCATCATAGGCACACTTGATAAATACTCATGGCTGGAAAAAAAAAAAAAGAGGGAAAGATAGAGAAAAGGAGGGCAGGACAAAGAAAAGGAAAAGAAAGACAGAAAGTAATAGAAAGCAAAGGTGCATATTTTTATAATCTTAGAATGAAGAAGACCACTCAGGAAAATCTTAACACCTCTCTGGATAAAAAATTCAGAAGGCACTGCAAAAAACAAAGCTAATAAAATATGTTTACACTTTTAAACTCTTTGTGGGAAAAAAACATGGTAAATAAAAGAAAAACTGGGGGCTGGGAGTTTTCAATTCACTTACAAAGAGTTGATTTCCATAACTACAAAGCATGCTTACCAATTAAAAAGTAGAGAACAGGACCCAACTTTTGGTAATGGCAGAATAGCCCCCACTGAACCAACCTTTCCACAGGTAACAGCTATAAACTTTAGGTAAAATATGGGGGGAAAACCTGCTTAAAAGCACTGGAGTGTGATAGAAGCAGGCAAACACTGGAGTTCTTGTGGTGATGGAAATGTCCTGTGCTTCAACTGCACTAATGTTTGTGTCCTGATTGTGATGTTGCTCTGTAGCTTTGTGAGTTGACATTGGGGGAGGCTGGGTGAAGAGGACACAGGATTTCTGTGTTACTTCTGTGTGTGAATCTACATATACTTCAAAGTAAAGTGTAATTTTTAAAAAGTCAATTTATGGCTAGGCATGGTGGCTCACGCCTGTAATCCCAGCACTTTGGGAGGCTGAGGCTGGTGGATCACAAGGTCAGGAGATCAAGACCATCCTGGCTAACATGGCGAAACCCCGTCTCTACTAAAAATACAAAAAATTAGCCAGGTGTGGTGACAGGCACCTGTAGTCCCAGCTGCTTGGGAGGCTGAGGCAGGAGAATGGCGTGAACCCGGGAGGCGGAGCTTGCAGTGAGCTGAGATCACTCTACTGCACTCCAGCCTGGGCAACAGAGCCAGACTCCATCTCAAAAAAAAAAAAAAAAAAAAAAAAGTCAATTTATGTAATTTATATGATTAGAAAATAAAGGATTAATTCTAATCATCAACAGATGTATAACAAACATTTGAAAATCAACAACCATTAATGATTAAAGAAAAAACCCAGGAAGCTTGAAATAGAAGGAAATTATCTCATACTGATAAAGAACATTCTTAAAAACCTAGAGTGAACATAAATATCAGTTTCCTCTTAAGATAGGAAACAAGGCAAGATTGACCATTCTAACCATTTCTTTCCACCATTGTCCTAGAGGGCATGGTTGGTGCAATATGACAAGAAAGAAAGCCAGATAAACAAAAACCTCACAGCAAAGGCTGAAGGTCTGTTTACCTCAGCTTCTTCGGTCTAACACATCATGTCCAGATTTCCAGAAAAAATTACAAGGCGTGCCAAAAGGCAAAAAATACTGTCAGAAGACACAAAATGAGCATCAGAACCAGCTCAGATATGGTAGAAATTTAGGAATTATCAGATCGGGAATTTAAAATACCTATGATTAATGTGCTAAGGGCTTTAATAATAGAAAAAGTGAACAATATTAAAAAATGAATAGGTAAAATTGAAATGCAAAGAAAGTGTAAAAAGGAAATGCAAGAAATTATAAACACTGTAACAGAAGTGAAGAGTGTGTTTAATGGGTTCATCAGTGAGCTGATAAGAAAAGAATCAGCCCGATATGTGGGTCAAAGAAACCTCAAGAGAAATTAAAAAGTATTTTGAACTAAATGAAAATGAAAATGCAACCTATCAAAATTTGTGAGAATCAGTGAAAACAGAGCTTAGAGGGAAATTTACAGCATTGGATGAATATATTGGAAAAGAATAAACATCTAAAGTAAATAACTTAAAATTCCATCTTAAGAAACTAGAAAAAGAAGAGCAAATCAAATGTAAAGTAAGCAGAAAAAAATAATAAAAATCAGAGCAGAAATCAATGAAATTGAAAACAGAAAAACAATAAAGAAAATCAATGAAATCAAAATTTGGTTCTTTAAAAACATTAATAAAATTGATAAACCTTTAGTCAGACTAGTCAAGAAAAAAAAAAGAGAAGACACAAACCTCTAACATCAGAAATGATAGAGGGACATCACTATAGATCCCGTGGACATTAAAAGGATAATACATGAATATAATGAACAACTCTATGCCCAGAAATTTGATACCTAGATGAAACTGACTAGTTACTTGAAAGACACAATCTACCAAAACTCACAACAAGGAGAAATAGATTATCTTAATAGACATATTTCTTATAGAAATTGGATCGATAACTGATAATCTTCCCAAAGACAAAACACCAAGACCAGAAAGGCTTACTGGTGAATTCTACCAAACATTTAAGGAAGAAATTATACCAGTTTTCTACTATCTGCTCCAGAAAACAGAAACAGAGAGAATACTTCCTAATTCATTTTATAAGGCCAGCATTATTCTAATATCAAAATCAAAGACAGTACAAGAAAGGGAAACTAAGGACCAATATCTCTCATGAACATAGATGCAACAGTTCTCAACAAAATATTAGCAAATTAAATTCAACAATGTATAAAAAGAATTCTGCACCATGATCAAATGGGCTTTATTCCACTTACGCAAGGCTGGTTCAACATCCAAAATTAGTAGTGAAATTAATCACATCAACAGGCTAAAGAAGAAAAGTCATATGATCATATCAGTAGATGGATAAAAAACATTTGACAAAAATCCAACACCCATTCATGATACAGACTTTCAAAAAACTAGGAATAGAGAACTCCCTCAATTTGACAAAGAATATCTACAAAAACCTACAGTTAATGTCATACTTAATGGTGAGAAACTAGACACTTTTCCCCCAAGATTAGGAAAGGGCAGAGATGTTTCTTTTCACTTGCTCCTATTCAACATCATATTAAAATGCAATAAGACAAGAAAAGTAAATAAAATGTATGCAGATTAGAAGACATAAAATTTTCTTTGTTTGCAGATGACATGATTGTTCAGATAGAAAATGCCCAAGAATCAACAATTTTAAAACTCCTCCTTAAACTAATAAGTGACTATAAGAAGATTGCAGAATCCAAGGACTATAAATAAAATATCAATTGCTTTCCAATATATGAGCAATGAACAACTGAAATTTAAAATTAAAAAAAAAAACCATTTACATTAGCCCCAAGTTAAAAAAAGAAAAATATGTAGGTGCAATCTAACAAAATATGTATACGATCTATATAAGGAAAACTACAAAACTTTAATGAAATAAATTTTTAAAATCCAAGAAAATGGAGAACTATTCCATGTTCATGGATAGGAAGACTCAGTATTGTCAAGATGCCAGTTCTTCCCAACTTGCTATAGAGTCAATATATTCCATTCAAAATTCCAGCAAGTTATTTTGTGAATACCAGGAAACTGATTTTAAAGTTTATGTAGAAAGGCAAACGACCCAGAATAGCCAACACAATACTGAAGAAAAACAAAGTCACAGAACTGATACTACCTGACTTCAAGACTTACTATACAGCTATGGTAATCAAGACTATGTGGTGCTGTTGAAATAATAGACAAATGGATCATTGGAGCAGAACAGAAAGTCCAGAAAAAGACCCACACAAATATAGCCAACTGATGTTTGAAAAGAAACGAAGACAATTCAAATGAGAAATGATAGTCTTTTCAACAAATGGTGCTGGAACAACTGGATATCCACATGCAAAGTTTAAAAAGTGAAATTAGATACTGATTCTACACTTTTCACTAAAAATTTATTCAAAATGGATCATAGACCTAAACGTAAAATGTAAAACTATAAAACCCCTAGAAGATAACATAGGAGAAAATCTAGATGACCTTGGGTATGGCAATAACTTTTTAGATACAACACCAAAGGCATGATCCTGTTGATGACAAAACTAAACTCTGCGAAATATTTTAAAAGGATTATTCTGAGCCAATGTGAGTGACCATGGCCTGGGGAACAGTCTTAAGAGGTCCTGAGAAAGTGTGTCTGAGGTGGTCAGGTTATGGTTTGGTTTTATATGTTTTAGAGAGACAGAAATTATAAGCAAAGGCATAAATCAATACTCAGAAGGTATATATTGATTGATCCCAGAAAGGTGAGACATTGTGAAGCAGGGGCTTATAGGTCATAAGTGAATTCAAAGATTTTCTGTTTGGCAGTTGGTTGAAAGAGTTAAGCTTTGTCTGAAGACTTGAAGTCAGTAGAAAGAAATGCTTGAGTTAAGATAAGAGGGGTTGTGGAAGCCAAGGTTCTTGTTATGTAGATGAAGCCTCCAGATAGCAGGCTTCAGAGAGAATGGATGGTAAAAGTCCCTTTTTGGACCTTGAAAGTTGTCAGAGTTTCAATTAATCTCTCCTAGATCTGGGGAAGTCCTGGCTGTATTAATGGAGATTCTCTACAGATGCGAATTTCCCCTACAAAAGGTGGCTTTGCAGGGCCATTTACAAATATGTCAAAGAAATATACCATGGGATAAAATATTTTCATTTTCTTCAGGGTTTGCTATCTGTCATGTGATGCTATGCCAGAGTCGGTTGGAATTTGGTATCTTACTGCCACAGAGTCTTCTCTGTCAGTTTCATGATCTCTATTTTAATGTAAATGTTAGTTAGCTGTGCCTAAACCCCAACAGGGAGGGGTTATAATGAGGTGTGTCTGACCTCTCTTCCCATCATGGCCTGGAATTTAGTTTTTCAGGTTTCTCTGGGATCCTATTGGCCAAGAGGGGTCTGTTCAGTCAGTTGGGGGGCTTAGGATTTTATTTTTGGTTTACAATCCATAAAAGAAAGAATTGATAAGCTGGACTCCATCAAAATTAAAAACTGCTCTGTTAAAGACATTGTTGAGAGAATGAAAGGACAAGCCACAGACTAGAAGCAAATATTTACAAAACACATACCTGATAAAGGAATGGAACTTAAAATGTACAAAAGACTCTTAAAATTTGACAATAGGAAAAAAACAACCCAGTTAAAAAGTGGGCCAAAGATCTGAACAGACACCTCACCAAAGAAAATATACAGATGGCAATTACGCCCATGAAAAGATGCTGCACATCGTATGTCATTTGAGAATTACAAATTAAAACAGCAATGAGGCCAGGCCCATGGCTCACTCTTGTAATCCCAGTGCTAAAGGAGGCCAAGGCAGGAGATTGCTTGAGGCAATGAACTCAAGACCAGCCTTGGCAACATAGTGAGACACCATCTACCAAAAAATTTAAAAATTAGCTGGGCATGGTGGCACACACCTGTGGTCCTGGCTACTCAGGAGGCTGAGGTGGGAGGATTGCTTGAGCCCAGGAGATTGGGTCTGTGGTCAGCCATGATCATGCCACCACACTCCAACCTGAATGACACAGCAAACTCCATCTCAAACAAACACAAACAAACAAACACCACAATGAGCTACTACTACACACCCATTAGAATGGCTAAAGTATAAAATATGAACACCAAATGCTAGGAAAGATTAGGAGCAACAGAAACTCTTGTTCATTGCTGGTGGGAGTGCAAAATGTTGCAACTGCTTTGGAAAACATTTGGCAGTTTCTTATAAAACTAAGCAACCTTTACCACATATATATAATGAAAACAAACCAAACTTTCTTCTCCTGCTATACTGTCAACACAGAACACTTCTGGTCCTCAAAATGTGGAGGGGCTTTCTCCACACACCTGTAATTGCCTGACGGGTTCTTCCTGCCTGCCATACAGACAAAATCTATTCATGAGACCATGGCATTGTAGTAGAGAAAAGAGTTTGATTGATGTGAGGCCGGCCCACACGGGAGAGCTGGAGCTATCCCTTAAATCAGTCTCTCCAAAGGCTTAGAGGTTAGGGTTTTTATGGACAATTAGGTGGACAGGGGGTTATGGAATTGGGTGCTGCTAAGTGGTTGGGGACGAAATCACAGGAGCGTGGAAAACAGTCCTCATGTGCTGAGTCAGCCTCTGGGTGGGGCCACAGGACCAGCCTAGTCATGAGACAGGAGTCCAGGTGGGGTCAATCTAAAAACATCTCAAAAACCAATCTTAGGTTCTACAGTAATGATGTTATCTATAGCAGTGGTCTCCAAACTTTTTGGCACCAGAGACAGGTTTTGAGGAAGACAATTTTTCCACAGACCAGAGGGTGTGGGGGAAGGTGTTGGGATGAAACTATTCCACCTCAGATCATCAGGCATTGGATTCTCATAAGGAGCTCACAACCCTAGATCCCTCTCATGTGCAGTTCACAATAGGGTTTGCACTCCTATGAGAATCTAATGACACCGCTGATCTGACAGGAGGCAGGGCTCAGGCGGTAATGCTTGCTCGCCTGCCTCTCACCTCCTGCTGTGCCTCCTGGTTTTTAACAGGCCATGGAGTAGTACCTGTTGGGGACCCCAATCTATAGAAGCAATTGGTAAAGACACAAGTCTTGTGACCTCTGCTCACATGACTCCTGAGCAGTAAGGGGTTATAGAAAGCATGCCTACATCTCAGCAGATTTCAGTTCCTCCCATAATCCTATTCTTGTAGCTTTCAATAGTCTTACAAAGGCGGTTTTCAGTCCTTGAGCAAGGAAGGAGTTAGTTTTAGGGAGGGACTATTATTATCCTTGCTTTCAAGTGGAACTATAATTCCTCCTGAAGTTAGCTTGGCCTACACCCAGAAATGACCAAAGAGAGCTTGGAGGTCAGAAGCAAGATGGAGTCAACAATGTTAGATTTCTCTTACTGTCACAATTTTGCAACAGTGGTTTCACACCAAGCAATTCTCCAGTGCACACCAACAGTGCCCCATAATTCAATTTAATTCTGACACTAACTAAAGTTAGCACAGATGCTGCAGGTTGAGGTATTTGCCTCACAAGATGGCCCTTATTTCCAATGCCAATTGCAAGTCCCAGGTCATTTCACCAGTGCTTCCAACCTTCTGGCTATTAATGCGGGGTTCTCATGGCCCTCCTTGTGTTAGATTACTTGCTAGAATGGCTCACAGAACTCAGGGAAACACTTTACTTATGTTCACTCACGCATGATAAAAGGATGTAAATGAATAGCCATTTGGAAGAGATGCACCGGGAGAGGCGCGTGGGAAGGGGTGCAGGGCTTCCACACTCTCTGTGGGCACCACTCCAGGGACCTCCATGTACTCACCAACCAGAAGCTCTCTGAACTCTGTCCTTTTGGGATTTTATGGAGGCTATCATGTAGGCATGATTTGTTAAATCACTGTCCACTGGTGATCAACTTGACCTTCAGCCTTCTCCCCTCCCTAGAGGTTGGGGATGGGACCACAAGTTCCAACCCTCTATGCACATGGCTGGTTCCTCTGGTGACCTGCTCCATCCTGAGGCTGTCCAGGCGTCCCCAGCCCCCAGTCATCTCATTAGCACACAAAAGATGTTGTCACTCCACAGATTCCAAGGCTTTAGGAGCTGTATGTCTGGGAAATGGGAAAAGGACCAAATGTACATCACAAGATCATGCCATACAACCCAGAAATTATGCTCCAAGAGATTACCCAAATGAGTTCAAAACCACACAAAAATGTGCACACAAATGTTTATAGCAGCTTTATTCATAATTGCCAAACTTGGAAGCAACCAGATGACCTTTCATGGGTGAATGGATAAGGAAACTGGTTCACCCAGACAATGGAATACTAGCCAGTGACAAAACAAAATGCGCTGCCAAGCCCAGAAAAGACATGAAGGAACTGTAGCTGTGTTTGCTAAGTAAAAGGAGCCAATCTGAAATGGTTGCACACTGTGATTCCAACCATATGATATTTTGGGAAAAGCAAAACTATGGAGACAGTAAGAGAGGAGTGGTTGCCAGGGGTGAGGGAGGAGGGAGGGGTGAATTGGGAGCACAGATGAGTTTAAAGCACTGAGGCGGCTGCAATGCTAGAGTGGTGGACACAGCCGTGACATATCCATCCAACACACAGAGTGGGTGTAGTGCAGACCATGGAGTTTGGGTGACAGTAATGTCTCAGTGTAGCTTCACCTATTGTAACAAATGGGTCACACTCATGCAAGCTGTCATTTGTTTATTATTATTGTTTTAGAGACAGGGTCTCACTCTGTCACCCAGGCTGGAGTGCAGTGGTGTGATCTTAGCTCACTGCAGCCTCGACCTCCTGGGCTCAAGCAATCAACCTCCCAAGTAGCTGGGAGTACAGGCATGCACCACGCCAGCTAATTTTTTTTTTTTTTTGTAGAGATGGGGTCTCACTTTGTTGCCCAGGCTGGTCTCAAACTGCTGGCCTCCAGTCATCCTCCCACCTCAGCCTCCCAAAGTGTTGGGATTATAGGTGTGAGCCACCAAGCCCAGCCTGCAAGCTCTTAGGGAAAACTGTGGTGGTGGGGAGGGAACACATGGGGACACTGTACTTACTGCTCAATTTTTCTGTTACCAAACTAAAGGAAGAAACTGAGGCAAAACTAATGTGATTTATTTGCACTGAGCTGAGGATGACTTTCCCCAACGTATGCCCAGCTTGCCTTGGGGAGTGCCCCCTGGGCCCTTTGTTGCAAGCAGGTTTTCAAAGGCAAAAAGGGGGTTCAGGGACTGGCCTGACACCAAGTTGTTCATCAGGAATTCTTACCAGGAGCAAGTGTGTCAGTGACAGGACGGTGGCCAGGCCCGCCTTTCCCCTCGTGATGGTCATCGTCCTTGAAATACCAGGAGGCAGCAGGACCCCCCAGGGTCCAGGTTCAGTCTTTGGAGATGCAGTCCGAGGGTCTGTCTGCAGAGCCTCCATTCATGCAGACCAACATGGAACAGGACTCACGGGGGCACACGTCTCCGCCTTGCCATCAACCAGATACATGTGTGAATTCCCACCTGGCCCTGAGTCACACCCAGTTTAGTGCTTTCACGGGAGGAACACCTGCCGTCCTCACAGCAGGGATCTCCAAGGATGGCCCAAATATCGGCTTCCCAGTGATACTGCTCGTTCCTGCTTGGAAACTCCTTTTCCACGGTGGTGAGATATTGAACTTGACTCATGGAATAGAAGCTCCCCGGGATGCCACCACCTTGTGAAATAGCAGCTCCTCAAATTACCTTGTTATGCTTCTAATGCCAGGGTCCAAAGAAGCCCTCTGTTGCCACCAGATACATTTTGAACCCAGTTCATTTAGAAACCATGGTTGGTGGTCATCATCTACTTGTGTTCTGAGAAACCACAAAGTTCAACTTCAGCTCTTCAGTTATGGTCTTTTCATATTATTTTAGAATGTGAAATTTATGCTGTGTGTCCCTCCTTTTATGTCATGAACACAGCCTGCTCCGTATGGTGCCTAACGCTCCTGTGACCCCTGGGCTTTCCTCGTGTTTAACGTTCTGGTTTTCTCCTTCCTTGAGGTCCCTGTGGCCTCTTCAAGGTCCTGCCTTCCTCCCATTTATTCTTTGTGGTTCTGTACAGACTGATGCATTTATTTTGCCTTTCCCAACTAAGTATTCCTCACTCTGTTCTTGATGGAGGGGAGAAGGAGGGCAAAGAAGTTAAATTTACTTCAGGGCATCAAAATGAATGTCTACTTAATAACTTTGTAAAATGTAAAGTGATACATATAATTGTAAAGTAGTGTTAATTTTACCTAATAATTACAGTTAAAAAATATATCATTGGTTTACAGAAGTAACACTGCTTAGTGATGAGCTACACATTGTTGAGCTGTGGGCATGGGTTATGGAGTCCAGCATGCAGCATTGTGGGCTTCATTTGCGCTGTTCCAAGGGATGAACCCACAGCTCAAGGGGGAGTGGGAAGTGGCTGCGGTCTTGTTTTTTTTTTTTTTTTTTTTTTGAAACGGAGTCTTGTTCTGTTGCCCAGTCTGGAGTGCAGTGGCACGATCTCAGCTCACTGCAACCTTCACCTCCTGGGTTCAAGCAGTTCTCCTGCCTCACCCTCCCAAGGGACTACAGGTGCCTGCCACTATGCCCGGCTAATTTTTGTATTTTTAGTAGAGACGGGGTTTCACCATATTAGTCAGGCTGGTCTTCAACTCCTGACCTTGTGATCTGCCCGCCTTGGCCTCCCAAAGTGCTGGGATTACAGGCATGAGCCACTGTGTGCAGCCAGTGGTCTCGTTTTAATGTCTCCCAGGGCCTGATATTTTTAAAGGGCTCAAATTCCTCAGATAAGAAAAGCATATTGAAGCAAAGACTGCTTCTGAGTAAGAACAACAGAAGCAACCCCAGCACCTGGAATATTGGGGTTCTAAAAAGCGACTTCTTACATGAACTTTTAGATTTTATTATTTTATTGTCTATGGTTGGTAGCATTTAATGATTCACCTGAACGTGACTTTGAAACATACGCTATGGCACAAAAACGAATTCCAATTCCAATTAATGATGGGAAGAGAATGTGTGGCCTGGGAAGACCTGGAGTCTGCTTTGGAGTTATGTCCTCACCTCTAACCCTCATGGCATACATTTGTGTAACTTTTGCAAGCTTGGAAGAACACGCATGCCTGATATCCACACCCCACCCGCTGGAACCTGTGGATTGCTTGCTTACACCGCACCAGGGACTCTGCATAGGGAACTCGGTGATGAATCTTGAGATGGGAGATGCTCCTGATGACCTGGTGGGGCCCAGGTAACCTGCAGGGTCCTCCTAAGGACGGAAAGGCTTGAGGCAGAGACTGGACACTGCTGTGCTGTGGCTGTGAGGATGGGTTAAGGGGCAGGAACCAAGGGAGACAGAGATGGACCCCCCAGTGCCTCCCGACAGAGCCTAGAGGGCAACGCTGCCATTTCAGAACTGTAAAACGACAGATTTGTGTTGTTTTAAGTCAATAATAACAACAACAACAAAGTCAGGCTAATTCTTTCTTTCATTCAATAAACACTGAATATGGACCATGTGCCCACGATGCTGGGAGTGAGGACACGGCTGTGGAGGACATTGCCGGGCACCTGCACTTGGGCAATGCAGCTCACAGCTGCACCGAGACTCACAGAGCCTCCTGCTGAAACAGCAGAGGCCTTCGCGGGCAGGGGCCAGGGGCGGGTGGGTGGAGAGAGCAGCAGGCGCTGGCCGGGCCCTGGGATGGCCGGGTAGCAGGGAGCAGGCAGACCCTCCCTAAGAAACCCAGCACCCCGCTGTCCTCCCGGCTGCCGGCGCCCCCGCGCGCTGGCCCCCCGCCCACCATCGGGCGCCCTGCTGGTCACCGGGCCTCTGCGGCCGCCTCAGCGCATGAGGGTTCCGTGAAGAGGGGTCGCGTGCCCCTCAGCCGGCATTCCCGGGGCTCGGGACCCCGGACCTCCCAGAGGAATCACTCTCCTATGCCAGAGCCTGGCCTCAAGGGAGACGCTGGCGTGAATCTACCCCGGCCCGCCTTGGAGGGGATGGGGCTCCGAGCCTGGTCTGGGCTGTCCAACTGGGCATAAGCGTCACAGCCACTGCCAGGGGAGGGAGAACCTGGCCAGAGGCCCCGCCGTGGGCTGTGGAGCCAGCCCCTCCGCAGCCCTGTCCATGTGGGGCAGGCCTGGTGGCCCACACAGCCGGTGCTGGAGCCTCGCGAGGAGGGGGTCGGGGGACAACCGCATCTGTCCCAGTTCCCGTGAGGGCAAGACGGGGCGCTGTCCAGGAAGAAACCCTGTGGAGGGAGGGGAGCGCACCTCAACGTTTCTTCCTTCCACTCTTGCAGGAAAATCTGGGGGAAACGTTATTAAGGCAGAAAGAGTGACCCTGTTCCTTTTTTTGGTAACTCCATTCACTCCACTTCAACCATAAGAATCCCAAGCAGGAAACTTACCAAGCATCACAAACCACCTCGAAAAGCAACACCACACAACCTACATGCTGGACCGCTGAGGGGACATACACCCGGCCACTGAGCGGACGCACGCAGGGCCCCTGAGTGACGTGGGGACGCACGCGGGGGCGCTGAGGGACGTGGGGTTGCTGAGGGATGCACGCAGGGCCGCTGAGGGGCGTACGCGGGACTCGAGTGACGTGAGCACGCACGTAGGACCTGTTAGTGACGTGGGGACGCACGACGGGGCACTGAGGGGACGCACGCGGGGACGCTGGGGGACGTGGGGGCGCCGAGGGACTTGGAGGGCGCCGAGGGACGTGGGGGCGCTGAGGGACGTTGGGGGTGCTGAGGGGACGCCCGCAGGGGCCGCTGAGGGACGTGGGAGTGTTGAGGTAACGCAGGCGGGGGACGCTGAGGGGACTCATGCGGCGGGTGCTGAAGGACGTGGGGCGCTGAGGGGATGCATGCGCGGGGCAGTGAGGGACATGGGGACGCTGAGGCAGCGCACGCGGGCCACCATCGGCCAAGGATGAGACCATTAGAACATCTGCAATGGGTTGAAACGCCTCGAATGCAGTAAGATCCAGGAGTTATAACGATACTAAAAATAGCAACAATGACCCAAGTCACCTTTGGACATGCTAAAAACCAGCGGTACCTCAGGATGACCAAATAGTTGATGAGAAAAAATCCCTCTTCAGAAAAGTATTACAGCTCACAGGTGAAGAAAGGAGACACAGAATCGGAGCATCTTCCCTCCGAAGCCCCACAATGGAATCACCGGTGCAGGGAGATGGCCAGGCCTGCGGCACCCGAGAGAGGCCGTCTGACCCGGGTCCTCTGTGCAGGCAGAGCCCCCTCCGGTGTTGTGTTCCCGCCAAAACTGGCCGCGAATCGCAGATGATGATGCCGGGATCCGCGCCCTTGCAGGAGAGACGGGGGTGTGGGGAGGATGCCGGCAGCTCAGGGCACAGTCCAGACCTGGGGACACCACGGGACAAAAGACAAGTCACGAGAGGAAGAAGCGGAGAGAACCAAGGATTTTTTCCTGGTTGGAAAAAACAGAGTCTTAAAAATCCTGTGGGATGCCAGGGAGTCCTGGGCGCTGATATCTGGTGGCATTAAGGAGTCACCATCAATTATTTTAGGCATAAATACAGAACTGGGGTTGGGTGGGGTGTTTGGTTCTTATCTTTGAGAATACTTTCTGAAGTGTTTATGGATAAAATAATATGATGTCTGGAACTGTTTTAAAATAGCCCAGTGAGGAAGCGGGTGGGGTGCTGGCCTTGGCAGGAACACGGGGCCATTGTGCTGGTCTCTCGCGTTGTGTTGGAACTCACTATAAACAGCACCAGCGAGGGACGGCAGCCTGCCCTGTGCCTGCCCTGAGGTCACTCTCACTGTGAACTCGGCTCCCTCCAGCCCAGCTCTCACAGGGTCACAGGTGGTGGCTTCAGCCAATGTCCTGTGCAGGCTTCTTCCTGAAGGAACACAGAGTCCTGAGAGTGGGATTTCCTGTGGTGATTCTTCGGTCTCAGAGTCCCGAGGGACACGCGTGTTTGAGAATCTTCTCCATGTCCATCTGGATGATCTTCGCCTTCATTCTCCTCTCCTATTAAATGGAGGCCATCAGCACACTTAGACACGCCTGCCAGCTTTAAGAGTTTAGAGCTAAACAAATGAAGCACACAGTGCACTTCAAAGACTTCGAGAGGAAGGCTCAGTGTGCACAGAGGCCCCAGGAACCCTGAGCTTCCCCAGGATGCCCATCCTGAGCCCTCGGGGGCCATCTAACCCACTCAAACTCCAAACACTAGTCTCTCCCCCATCACAAGGAAAGACAGGCATGGTCCCCCACCCATCAGCGGTGTTGCTGAATCTGGCAGCCACTGTGTTTGTCAGACCTGCCTGCCTTGTTCAGCAGGGAAACCACTTGCTATGATGAATGGAGCTGCATGTGAAACTTAGATAAGCAGGCAGGTCGAAAACACCTCCTGTGCCAGCATTCCAGTTTTCTTGCTTGGCCCAAGAACCTGGTTTCATTTTGGAAGGTGGAGGGAGTGTGTGGCGACCTTGTTGCCATTTTCAGGCATGGCTGGGCTCTCACACAGTCACTCTTAGAACAGACATGTCCCTGCCTGGAGGCCAGGCCCTCTTGGGTTGTGGGAACCAAGCCCAAAAATGTCAAACAAGTGGCAAAACCTTTAGGGTAATTTTCCTCTAACTCAAAAAACACCTGGCCGCTTCTCCTCCCCAGATGTTAAAGGTCCTTTTATTAGCATTGTCCTATTGTGTTTTTTTCATTTCTCAGACACAGACACAGGAAGCATCAACTCTGAGGCTTTGGCCAGGATGTGAGCCCGACTTTCGCAGCCCCAACTGGCAGGCTGACCTCATGTGAACTCCCTGGCGATGGCATCCTGGAGACACCCACATGGCTGAGCTGGCACCATAGGGTGAGGGCACCAGGGCCATGGGGACCGTGGTTGCTTGCCTCAGACATGGCCAGCAAGGGAGGCACAACATGGGGCTGTTGAGTGAATGTGTGAGAGGCTGTGGGTCCCCACAGTCCAGCCACCAGCGGCCTCGCAGCATCATAGGAGTCTGAGGTCCAAGACACCGGACTCACATCTCAACCCTGCCCTGTGCTGCTCAGGGCCAAGTCTAAGCTGCTGTGACAAAGAGGCCCCCACATGCAGCAGCTGCCACAGAACACGGTCATCTGTTTTTCATGCACGCTGTAGCCCTGGTCATTCCAGCCAGAGCCTCCAGGTTTTGTTGCTCTTCCAGGGCACGTTCTGGGCTGTGTGATGGAGGCTGGACTGTGGGCTCCTCTGAGGAGGTAGAGGGATGCGCACCAGGGCCCCCGTGTTGAGGCTCGGCTCCCACCCCATCACCTCTACTCTAGTGAGGCCACTTCCTGCGAAGGTAGCTGGATGCTCCTGCCTGGAGCTGC